>NC_000012.12:29069686-29222381 GCF_000001405.40 Homo sapiens
GCTCTGATTTAAATGTTAATCCAACAATTAACATTAACTTTAATGATATAAATGTTACTCATCTAAAAACATCCTCACAGAAACATCCAGAATAATGTTTGACCAAACATATGGGCACTGTGGTCCAGCCAATTTGACAACTAAAATTAACCATCACTCTTGGCAAGCTGCCCTGGGCCTTCCTGCTTTAGTAGAGTTAGATACAGGTAGCACCCAAGGTCCACTGGCTTTTCAATGCCCAGGCAGCAAATACAGAGATCCAAAGTATCTTTTTATGAAAAGATCCTAATAGATATAAAAGCAGAGAGGTCAGAGAAAGATGGTTGAAACTGTTGCCTGTATCCAGTTCCACTTTAACCTTTATTCCTCACACTGTAATTTCTGCCTCTATTTCAGTGGTCCCACGTTGTATTCCATATCAGAACCCCATCTAGGGAGTGGAGTGAGACTGAGATAGATCGATGCTCCCCTGAGCTCTTCTGAGAGTTTACAGTGCACTTGACTCATAGGAACACATCAAAAGGCTTAGAAATAGGAACTTATAAAACAGTGACCATCCAGCCTGGGAGCTGACAGTAAGGAGGGGCAGTCTACAGATAATTTTAAAACCATAATAAAACTGATTAAAAGTTGGCCTGATTTTTATCATCACCATGTGCTGGCAGTTCTAAACAAGGTCAATAATATAATACTTTTGACCACCAAAACAGACCACAACCTACCTCTTGGCCACTGCTATGACAGAGGCTTTTAGGGCATCTATAAGCATCCTCTAACTGCAGCATTCTTATGCTAACCCCAACATATGCAGATGGGAAATTCTCTTCAATCACAGCATCACCTCCTGCCTGTGAAATGAATTTCATGGTGGGGAGGGCAGGGTTGGTGAAGGGGAGACTCTAAGTCACTCTGCTGGAGGCAAACGAAAACTCCAGAAAAAAACAATAATAATTCACAGTGTGAAATTAACTTTGATTAATTTACCAAAACATTTACATGGGTGCATTCAATATGAATGTTTTATTTAATGTATATATGAATTGTAGTTTGTATCAGGTATGAATCTTCATCTACAAAATAAAGTGTTCATTTACATAACAAAAAATATTTTACACCTACTGGACATTATTCTGTTCTGGAGACTTGAATTATAACAGTAAACAATATAGAGAAATGTGAAATGCAGACATTCCTACTTCCTTAACTATTGAACCTTTTAAATCAAATATATACAGTCCTATCTTGTGGTGATATCAATTTTCAGGGACAGAGCAATGTAAACCTATACTCAGGAAGGAAATATTTTTCTTTATTGCCTAATAACTACTTAGTTTTCCTTCCTGGAAACATCAAGATCCATTGCCCTGCAGAGCAGGGGTTAGTTCTATTCCCCACCTGGGACCTACCAGAAAAACAGAGGAACTACATTACCTTTCAACAGCTGCTTCTTGGGTAAGCACAAGAGAGACTCCAGTTTCACTGTTCTTATAAGGACTCATTATTTTATCTCCAATCTTCCAATGATGGTTGCTGGATAGGGAGAGAAAACAGTTGCCAGTGAAGAAAGGCAGTGATTAATTTCTCCAGTTCACATATAAATACACACAATTTGCACTGTGAGAAAACTGGAAGAACAAAGAATGTTTCTGGTGTAATGGGCATGTGTCTTAGTCATGGTAATTAAGACTTAGTATTACAAAGCCATTTGTCATTTAAAAGGCTCATTCTTGATCATTTTATTTGCTAATGTATTCTCATTATGAGACATGGAGGATGGAATGCTGCCTTAACTCAGCAGTTATCTTTGGTTATTGATTTTTTTCTGTAAAAATCAGAAAGACTTTCTTTTAGCTTGATTCAATTAAGACACCAAATAATATGGTTTTGAATTGCTTCAAAGGAAAAAAGCAGATGTAAAATCAGTGAATCATGTGAGCCATTGATATCAATTAGCTAAACCATGCCGAGGTGATCCCTGTTAGCAGTTAAGTTCTTCCTTTCCCCAGGACTACAATGCTCTGCAGAAAGGTGCCCTTAGGTTTAAAAGTGACACTGGTTGACATACTCAGAAAGCCTTCTGTTCAAATTCTACCTCTTGAAGAGCCTTTCCAATTGTGAGATCATTTGGACAATTTTGGACCATGCAGGATTCAAACATGAATGTCATATTAAGCTCAAGAATATATTTATGATTCCATACTTTCACCTACCTTGGAGTGATTTCTGTTGCACTCACTGAAATATCAGAGTAAGCTCAATATCAGATATTGATATAATATCAATACATAATATCAATATCAAGCTAAATATCAAAGTTAACTAACCACCATTAATCACCCAAAGCATAGATCAAATGCAAACCCATTATAGAAAAAAGAGAATGAGGAACAGTGTGTGTCCTTTTGGTCAGGAGTGTGCTAACACAGGAATAGATAGGATCCTAAAATGCAACAATCAATGGCAAGTGGTCTTTTTAATTTAGTGGGCAACCAGAGGTGACATGATTTGATGCCTTTCTGTCAGATGAAAAGAGCAAGAGTTTCTCTATGTTTTTTCATTTAAAAAATATTATGTCATAGATTTGAGGCTTACCTGTATTCAGCAAGAAGTAGAGGAGAAATTCCATGTGTATGTTAAAAATATAGCTGCAAAATTCTGCAATAAATATCTCTTCTATCATCCTTTTCAGGTCAAATATTATGATCCTTTGTGACAGCAAGATTTCAGGAAAGAGAATAAAATGTCAGAGAATGTAAATCTTTTATGATGACTGTGATGGTTAATTTTATGTGTCAACTTCAGTGGGCCATAGGATGCCTGGATATTTAGTTAAACACTATTCTGGGTGTATCTGTGAAGGTGTTTGCATGAGATTAATCGGTAGACTGAGTATAGCAGAGTATACTCCCTAATGAGGGAAGACCTTATCCCATCAACTGAAGGCCTGCATAGAAGAAAAGGCTGACCCGCCCCCAATAAGAGAGCATTCTTTCTGCCTGACTGCCTTAAACTGGGATGTAAGCTTTTTCCTGCTTTCAGAGTTGAACTGAAAAATCAGCTCTTCCTGGGTGTCTAGCCTGCCAGCCTTAACACTGAAATTGTATCATTAGCTCTCCTAGGTCTCCAGCTTCCTGAGTCACCCTGCAGACCTTGGGACTTAGCCTCCATAATTTCATGAGCTGCTCCTCATAATAAATTCCTTACATATATGCACACACATCCTATTGGTTCTGTTCTCTGAAGAACCCTGACTAATACAATGCTTGAGGGGATTTTTCTCAAGCATGAATAACTTTTGTTTCTCTTTCCTTCTTTTCTTCCTTTCTCCAAGCAGAATACAGATATTTACAGTTATCCCAAATACATTCATTGAATAGGTGACTGGATTTCTGATGACTACTTTATTTTTTATTACATTTCTGTATGCACTTGGGCATATCTGGGTTTTCTGTTCTAGCTCGTTAACCTGCCTACTCTCATGCCCATACCAATCTCTCTCCTTTTTAGTAATTTTTTAAAATTATAGTACCACTCTCTTTTAATTATTGGGATTTCATGAGTTTTAACATATGGTGTGTCCCCTACCCTTAACCTTTATTGCTATTTTTTGTCAGCTTTCTACTGGATGTTCTTTTGGAAAAAAAAATTCATTTTTAAATTGAGGTAAAATTTATGTATAGTGAATTACATAGCTCTTAAATGTAGTTCAATGAGTCTTGCCAATTTTCCATGCCCATTTCTACATACAATGTTGTATTTTGTTTTATTTGTTCTGTTTTGAGAAGTGATGTATTTATGATGTTAAATATTCCTATACAAGTATAAGGTACATTGTTTTCCATGCGATCAAGTGTTTTTTCTGTGTTATTGTATGGAAGGTCACCAGCTGAGCATCCGTACTGTGTGAGGACACAAAATAAACTCTATTAAGTTAAGCACCTTAAGTTTGGAGGTTGTTTGTTACAGCAGTTAGCCCATACCAACCAATACAACTAGATTTAACACCAGGCTTGGTTTGTACTTTGCTGTTTTATCATGGTTGTGTTATATTTGTTGACAAGTTCCTGGTATAGTGAGTGCTCTTAATATTCAAATGTACAATTTGTTAGTGTAAGTGAATTACTACAAAGCGCCACTAGGTGTCCTCTAGCAATAATTTTCCCTGGCCTGCTGAAAGACTGACTGAAGCTTTATTTTTTCCCTTGGCTGTACTGCTGAATTGGTCCCCAGGACTCCACCCTCCTGCCATCACTGCTAACATACCAGAAAAATGAGAACCTTTTGTTGTTTTTAAGAACGTAGTTAAGTATATCATTCTTCTTAAGAACAAAAGTGTAGACTTTATCATGTTATAAAGAACCCACTATCAGAGACACATTTGTGATTTTTCTGAAAGTTGCTCAAGAACAGATTTGGAAGAGACAATTTATACTGTATACCTCTCCCATTTCTCTCCTATCTATTCTTTAGCATTCTAACACAGCAGAAAAATGGTCAAACAACATCAAGGCCAGCCAGTCCTGGAGGAGAGCAGTAATTGCGATAATTATTATGTTGGTGCAAAAGTAATCGCGGTTTCTGCCATTAAAAGTAATGGCACCAACCTAATACAAAGAGGTGGCATCTTAGAAAAGGCAGTGGGCAGGCCGGGCATGGTGGCTCATGCCTGTAATCCCAGCACTTTGGGAGGCCAAGGAGGGCGGATCACCTGAGGTCGGGAGTTCAAGACCAGCCCGACCAACATGGTGAAACCCCATCTCTACTAAAAATACAAAATTAGCCGGCTGTGGTGGCGCATGCCTGTAATCCCAGCTACTCGGGAGGCTGAGGCAGGAGAATCGCTTGAACCCGGGAGGTGGAGGTTGTGGTGAGCCGAGATCAGGCCATTGCACTCCAGCCTGGGTGACAAGAGCGAAACTCTGTCTCAACAAAAAACAAAGCAAAACAAAACAAACAAACAAAAAAAACAGAAATGGCAGTGGGCACTGAGAGAGAGGGATGAGCTTGAAAGGTATAGAAGAGATAAAATATACAAGACGTGACAACCATTAGGTGTTGTAAGTATGAAAGAGAAAGAAGTCCGGAAAATCTCCAGCATTCCCGGATCAAGGCAACAGGGGCATGGTGGTTCTTCTGACTGAGATAAGAAAAACTGAAGAAGGAAAAGGCTTGTGGTACAAGGCAGAAAGGAATATGTTTACATTTTTTAACATGTTAGTTTTGATGTGTCTGGGGGACATCCAAGTGAACATCTCAAATTGACTGAAAGAATTCTGAAGATTTTTGGTTAAAGAAAGGGAAGTAGAAGATGTTTTACTCTTCTCCACTCCCTCAAACTCCACCAAAAGCAAACAAAAAAAGTAGAGGAAAAATAATCTATCTTCAGTGAGACCTGGAACAGGACACAACCACAAGCCACAAACTAGGAGGCATATCTGCCAAGCACTGGGAAGTCTAGACGAAGATGAGAGAAGAGAGACTCCTAAGAGCTAGACCAAGACAACTAGTTTCCCAAGAAGTTTATGTCACCAGTAGCCTAAAAATTCCTTTGATTAGAGTGTTGAGCTCTTTGGGTATAAAGAGGCTTTGAGAATGGTGAGAGGGGGGTGTCCTTAGGGAGACCCAGGATAATGACTCGGAATGCAGGAAAAATGCAGTAGAAAGTCAAATCATGCTGTGAGAAGTAGGGGAAGAGTAGGTGAGGAGTGTGTGTGTGTGTGTGTGTGTGTGTGAGAGAGAGAGAGAGAGAGAGAGAGAAAGAAGAGATTCACAATGTGGTGTTCTAGCTAAGGGAGACCTCTGGAGGTGAAGTGGGGTGAAAGAGGGAGGGGAAACGGTTATAGTCAAACTGCAACACAGAGCTGATGATTTAAATACTTTGCTGTCATCCTCAACCATTCCTAACTACAATATGTATGTATGTATGTATGTATGTACATGTGTATGTATGTATTAGCATGTTTCTGGCATCCATTTGAGGATGAGTAATAACTATAAAAAAAAAAAACCAGCCAGGCACTGTGGCTCATGCCTGTAATCCCAGCACTTTGGGAGCCCAAGGCAGGCGGCTCACTTGAGATCAAGAGTTCAAGACCAGCCTGGCTAACATGGTGAAGCCCCGTCTCCACTAACAATACAAAAAAATTAGCTGAGTGTGGCAGCGCGTGCCTGTAATCCCAGCTACATGGGTAGCTGAGGCAGGAGAATCACTTGAACCTGGGAGGCAGAGGTTGCAGTGAGCCGAGATTGTGCCACTGCACTCCAGCCTAGGTGATAGAATGAGACTCCGTCTCAAAAAAAAAAGAAGGAAAGAAAGAAAGAAAGAAAAGAAAGAAAGAAAGAAAGAAAGAAAGAAAGAAAGAAAGAAAGAAAGAAAGAAAGAAAGAAAGAGGGAAAGAAAGAAAGAAAAAGAAAGAAACCAGCATGGGACTAATACATAAAAGCTGTGCCGAAAAAAAGGAAAACAAAACATATATGCAAAAGGCAGATAAAAAAACATACTTCACCCAAAGGAAAGAGAGGAATTACCCAGAATATAGATAAAGAGTAGTTCTCTGCATGATAAGGAAATCTTGTGATCTCAATTTAGAAGAGACAACATGAATGGGATAAAATTTGTCATAGATAATTGCTGTTCTGGGCTGCTGCTTCTCTTAGTAATAGTAACAGAATTTATTGTCTGCCCTCACACAACCAAATCCTTTCAAAGAAAATTATTCTACCTTAATATCTATGGGTCATGTTTCATTCATAGTGATTAGTTCAGGGATGGACTTGTGACCTGAATTGATCAATGCATAAGGAAGCTGTTATTTCTGTGCAACATTTAGATTAGAAAAAAAAATTTACTCTTTTATTTCCATGTGAATGAGAAATTTGGGAAGCTGCTGATAACAATTTTACTACCATCAGGGGAACTTCTGCCCAAAACAGAACCAACACCAAAGGAGCTCATTCAAAAAGGAGAGAGAGAGAGAAAAAAAAAAAAAGTCCTGAACTCATAGTTTTCACCCTGGCTAAACTCATTCCCTATTCTCTTCAAGATCCAATCAATTTTCCATTATTATTTAAGCCACTTGAGTAAGGTTATTTGCTGCCATTTTCAGAAATGTTCCTAACTAAAATACAAGAGACCAAGAAAAGATACTTCATAGTATAGTATTGATTGTATTCTTCTTTTGTGTCAAGCACAATACTAAGCACTTCATGTGAAGTATTTTATTTAAACATGCACACGTATGTTTATTGCAGCACTGTTCACAATAGCAAAGACTTGGAACCAACCCCAATGACCATCAGTGATAGACTGGAAAAAGAAAACGCAGCATACATACACAATGAAATACTATGTAGCCATAAAAAGGATGCATTCATGTCCTTTGCAGGGACATGGATGAAGCTGGAAACCATCATTCTCAGCAAACTAACACAAGAACAGAAAACCAAATACCACATGTTCTCACTCATAAGTGGGAGTTGATCAATGAGAACACATGGACACAGGGAGGGGAACATCACACACTGGGGCCTGTCAGGGTGTTGGGGAGCTAGGGGAGGGGAGGGATAACATTAGGAGAAATACCTAATGTGGATGATGGGTTGATGGGTGCAACAAACCACGATGACACATGTATACCTATGTAACAAACCTCGACATTCCTCACATGCATCCTGGAACTTAAAATATACTTTAAAAAAAAACAAAAGTGAAATCACTAAAATCAGTGTCAAGCATATGTTTTGATGGACATTCCTCAAGTGAATTGACTAAGCTGGCTTGTTTAGTACAATGTTTTCAATGTACCTCTGTAACAAACCTGCACATTCTGCACATGTATCCCAGAACTTAAAGTATAATAATAATAATAATAATAATCAGAGCAAGCCTATAGATAGGTATTTTATTTTCTTCTCTTGACAAATAAGACAACTAAGTGACCCAGATGAGATAATGTTCCCAAAGACACAGAGCTGGTAACAAAAATGAGCAACAATTTGAACCAAGTGATCCTAACTCCAAAGCTATACTTAAACAGAAGCTAGAGTTTCTTCAATAAAAGGTCATTTAAACAACATAAGAAGATGAATTAAGTAGATGTACATAAAGTGGAACATAGTAAACTATATAAACCTTTTTCTATTCCATTGGCTTGATTCTCTTTGAATACTGCTTATATGGAAGTTGGATCTTCTTATCACTTTCCATATTTATCACTTTTTTTATAATCATGTTTCTATTCATATTCTTTTCCAATTAATTTCATGAGATTTATTCAATGTTTTCAGTGTATTTCAGTGACATTTATTAGGTTTATTCCCATTTTGATTGTTCTGTAACATTTTCTGTTTATTTTTACATTTTCTGGCTTTTCATCTCCCTTGTCTTTATTTGCAGATGATATGATCACCTTTGTACAAAATGCTGAGGAATCTATGAAAAAGCTACTAGAATCAATTAGTGAGTTTAGTAACCTGTTTAGATCCTGACTTTGAGTTATCCTAGATACATGGTTGATCGACATCAATCAACTGTATTTTTATATACTAACAGTGAACATTTGGAAGTTGAAATTTGAAAGGCAATGCCATCTACATCATCAAAAGTATGAAATAATTACAAATAAACTAAATGAAATATGTGTAATACCTATTCACTGAACACTACAAAGCATTGCTGAGAGAAATTAAAGAACTCCAAAATATAGATATATTCTGTATTCATGGGTTATAATATTCAATAGTGTTAGGGTATTTATTCCCCTTAAATGGAAATACAGATTTGCACAATTCCAATCAAAATTCCAGAAGACTTTTTTTTAGAAACTGACTAGCATGTTGTAAGTGTATATGGAAATGCAAAGGACTTAAAGTATCCAAACAGCTTCAAAACAAAAAGCAAAATTGGAAGACTTATACTAACTAGCTTCAAGATTTACTATAAAGCTATAATGAACATAAGTGAAATCCTGACATATAGGTAAATATAAACCAATGTAACAAAAACATAGGTCCAGGAAGAAAACTACATATACAAAATAAGTTTATTTTCAGCAAAAGTGCCAAGGAATTCAACTGCGGAAAGAATGATCTTTTCAGCAAGCTGTTAAGAATAATTCCATATATATATGCAATCAAATGAATCTCAACTCTAACCTTGGACTACATACAGAAATTCATATGAATTAGATCATACTACCAAATGTAAGAGCTAAAACTATAAAACTTCTAGAAGAAAATGCAAGAGAAAATCCTTGCGATCTTGAATTAGGCAAATTTTCTTACATTAAAGCACACAAAAATAATAAACTATAAGAAAAAATGATACAATAGACTTCATTAAAGCTAAAATTTTAGCCCTCTAAAAAATAATATTAAGAAATAAAGAGACAACTCAAATTGGAGGAAACTATTACAATGCATATATTGGAAAATTGACAGGTATACAGAAAATATAAAAAATCCATACCATTCAATAATGAAAAGACAAACAACCTAGTGTTTTTAATAGGAAAAATATTTGAACAAACACATGGTCAAATACATATATAAGTAACATATAAGCACATGAGACAATGATTAATGTTATCTTTAGGGAAATAAAAATTTAAAACCAAAATGAAGTATCACTATATAACCATTAAAATGCTAAAAATTGAACACATTGACAACACTAAGTGTTGGCAAACATATGAAGAAACTAAACCCACTCATAGATTGTTGATGGGAATGCAAAATGATAAAGACACTTTAGAAAATAGTTTGCAAGTTTCTTAACATATACATGCACTTCCAATAAAACATAGAAATCCCTACCTAAATATTTATCCAGAGGAAAAAATGCATTACGTCTACAAAATGTATATAGAAATTGGAAGGACGAAAACTAGAAACGATCGAAATGTCAATCAATTAGCAAATAGATAAGCAAAGTGTGGCATATTTATAAAATGAAATGCTACTCCACAATAAAAAAGAAGGTACTTCTGTACACATAAAAACATAGATGAATCTAAAAATTATTATATATACCAAGTGAAAGAAACAGACATAGAAGACTGCATACTCTGTAAGTCCATTTATATGGAATTTTGAGTGAAATCTAGAGTGAAAGAAAACAGATTGCGAGGAGCCTGAGATGAGGGAAAGGGATTAATTGCAAAGGGGCATGAGAAAACTTTTTGGGGTGATGGCAATGTTGGTGAAACATTTGGAGAAATTGAAAAAGCTCCAATCTCAAATAAGTCAACATATTGATCACACGTTACACAAACTTCAAGAGATTTTGTGTAATAAACCAAAAAGGTGTGGCTTTGCCAGCTAATTTGGTAAATCAACAGATTTAACTAGTAAATGCCATGGTGTACAGCATTTGTAAAATATTGTGTACACTCATGAAACCCAAGAAATTATTTCTGCTGCAAGAGCTGTCTGAAACAAGCAATGCCCAAGAGATATTTAATGTTTTGTCTTTATATCTAGAAATAAATCATCTGTATTGACATCTGTACTGATGTTGTTTCTTCAATTAATTATATATCCATATCCGTTTGCTGTTTTGTCTCTCTTGTAAAAAACATGAAAATTATTTGTCGCAACATACTTCTTTCTTCACAGAGGTATTCTGGTGTTAAGTAGTCTTGGAAATAGTCCTGAGATAACTGACTAGCCATTTGCAGAAGAATAAAACTGGACATCTCCCTATCATCATATACACAAGTTAACTCAAGATAGATTGAAGACTTAAATGTAACACCTAAAAACTATAAAAATTCTAGAAGAAAACCTAGGAAATAGCTCCCTGAACATCAGCCTTGGCAAAGAATTTGTGACTAATTCCTCAAAAGCAATTGCAACAAAAACAAAAATTGACAAGTGGGATCTACTTAAACTAAAAAGCTTCTGCAAAGCAAAAGAAACTGTCAATAGAGTAAACAGACAGACTACAGAATGGGAGAAATATTTGTAAACTATGCCATCCAAAAGAGGTCAAATATCCAGACTCTATAATGAACTTACAGAGTTCAACAAGCTAAAAATAAATAGCCCCATTAAAAAAAAATGAACAAAGACATCAATGATAGACTGGATAAAGAAAATGTGGTACATATACATCATGGAATACTATGAAGCCATAAAAAGGAATTCGTTCATGTCCTTTGCAAGGACATGGATGGAACTGAAAGTTTTTATCTTCAGCAAACTAACACAGGAGCAGAAAACCAAACACTGCAGGTTGTCACTTATAAGTGGGAGCTGAACGATGAGAATACATGGACACATGGTGGGGAACAACATACACTGGGGCCTGTTCAGCGGGCGAGGGGAGAGGGAGAGCATCAGGAAGAATATCTAATGAACGCTGCGCTTAATACTTAGGCGATAATACTTAGGTGATGGGTTGATCTGTGCAGCAAATCACCATGGCACATGTTTACCTATATTACAAACCTGCACATCTGCACATGTACCCCAGAACTTAAAATAAAAGTTGATGAAAAAAAAAGTAGGCAAAGGACATAAACAGATATTTCTCCAAAAAAAAGACATACAAGCAGCCAACAAACATGAAAAAAATGTCCCACATGACTAATCACCAAAGAAATGCAAATTAAAATCACAATGAGATACTATCTCACATGAGACAGAATGGCTGTTATTAAAAAATCAAAAAATAACAGATGTTGGTGAAGCTGTGGAGAAAAGGGAAGGCTTATACATTGTTGATGGGAATGTAAATTAGTTCAGCCACCATGGAAAGCAGTTTGGAGATTTCTCAAAGAACTAAAAATAGAACTACCATTTGACCCAGCAATTTCATTACTGGGTATATACCCAAAGGAATATAAATCATTCTACTGAAAACACACTTGCATTCATATATTCATCACAGCACTATTCACCATAGCAAAGACATGGATTCAACCTAGGTACCTGTCAACAGTTGACTGGATAAAGAAAATGTGATTGATAGGTGTGTGTGTGTGTGTGTGTGTGTGTGTGTGTGTGTGTGTGTGTACTATGGAATACTATGCAGTCATAAGGAAAAACAAAATCATGTCCTTTGCAGCAACATGGATGCAGCTGAAGGCCATTATCCTAAACAAATTAATGCAGGAACAGCAAACCAAATACTGCATGTTTTCATTTATAAGTGGGAGCTAAATTTTGGGTACAAATGGACATAAAGTTGGGAACAATAGACACAGGGGACTGTCAGAGTTGGGGAAAGAGCAGGGCAAGGTTGAAAACTACCTATTAGGTACTATGCTCACTGCCTGGGTGATGGGACCATTTGTATCCCAGACCTCAGTATCAAATAATATACTCATGTAGCAATGTACCCTCTTCACATATATCCTCTGAATCTAAAAAAGATTCTCAGAAATGAAATGAAAAATGATCTGGATGATTGTAACTTTATTAAACAAAGACCAGTTTGGTTAAAGAAAAGAAAAACAGTGTGAACACATAAACTAAAAACACATAAATCTGCTACATAGAGAAATCTGTTGGCTTAGCTTAAAGAGTGTTTTTAAACAAGTTGTTTGAGTTGAAAGTTAAATTACAAAGGCAGTTTTAAGAAGATAGTAGCCCAGAGTTTTTTTGCATGCCTTAAAGATGAAAAATGGCTGCAGAAACCAGCCTCCCTGGCAGGCATTTTTATCACATAAACCAATTAAACAAGTCCCTGCAAAGTCTAAAGAAAATGTTTTGACCTTACATGACATGATTCTTGGACTTAAAAGGAAACTCAATCTTTAGGAAAATCATGTTACAAAATTAAATTCTTAAATGTTTTCACTGCTGCTTGGGCTTGAGAGTAAGAAAGGATAACAACAAATTTCAAATCTTGAAAACCAGTCAGAAGAACTGTAGATCAGAAGTGAATAATGTTTTCAATCCATTCTCTCTGAACCTTCTGCTCAGTCTGAGAACCTGACTAACAGAGGAGAGATGAGAGAAGAACTTTGTGAGCTAATTTCAAAATGAGATTTACTGATCTGCCCCAGACACGTTCTAGCTTTCTGAATGAGAAAACTATGGAAGTCATAGGACAGCAATGAACACTTCGCTGCGGTTTTAAATTTCTTAATATGTGTCATCAAAACGTTTCTTGTTTAAACAAGTATTAAGAATGGGGACAGAAAATCTGAGTTACTCAAAAATGTTTTTAAACAAGGAATGGAGATTGAATTTTATCATATGCTTTTTCTAGCAGATGCTGAAAATATTATTTATTTATTGTTTTGTGGGTTGACCTATTACAGCAACATAAAATATTAGTAACTTTTTCTTTTTTATTTTCAGTCATCCAAAGGAATTTTTTTTTTTCCTAAGACAAGGTCTTGCTCCATTCCCAGGCTGGAGTGCAGTGGTATAATCACAGCTCACTGAAGCCTCAAACTCCTGGGCTCAGAAGATCTTCCTCCCTCAGCCTCCCAGGTGGCTGGAACTATAAGAGTGAGCCACCACACTTGGCTAATTTTTTGTTGTTGTTGTAGAGACAGAGTCTCACTATGTTGCCCAGGCTGGTCTCAAACTCCTGGCCTCAAGCAATTCTCCCACTTTGGCCTCCCAAATTGTTGGGATTATAGGTGTGAGCCACCATGCTTAGCCAATAACTTTTCATAAGTTAAACCATTTCTGGGATAAAATCCACCTCATTGTATTGGACTATTCTTTCACACTACTTTCATTTGCTGAGTAAACTCCAGACTTTATGCTCACAAGCATGATATCCCATTGCAGAACACCTTTGTCAGGTTTCAATATCAAGTGAATGCTCAGTTTAATTTAGTTCATTTTTCTTATCTTTTTCTATAACATGAAACATATTTTATATTATAGAGAATATATACTCTTTAAGAGTTTAAAGGAATTTAGCAATAAAGCCAAAAGACCTCGAAGTATTTGTTGAAGGTAAGCATTTAACCATAGTTAAACTAAGATAATAGTCAAGAATCTGACAAGAATGATATTTTCAATATAAACTTTAGTTATATTGCTTAACTAAATATGCTTAAGCATATTTCATTTTTAGAAGATATTAAGTGGGAATGTCATAACTCTTTTCTAGACCCCATATGCAAAATACATGCTTTACATTCAGATCATAAACTCACTTAATCCAGTATCCATGCACACCTGATGAAATGTTACCCTGGTTGAAGGCTGCATATCTATAATAATTGTCTTTTTTCATATATTGAGATTGCAAATCTCCATGAGTTCCTCTGCCTGTTTCCTGACATTTTGAGAATAAAATAGAAAATTATACTTTTTGCATAGAAAATACAATGATACTGTCCTACTGCTGTTAGGTATTTGTAGATTATAAAGAAGCAAGGGATGAGATTCCATCTGGATTCTCTGTGGTGCTTTTGCAGGTCTTTTTATTCTAATCTATTTTATCAGCACTCTATTTGAAACCAGGATTTATCCTTTCAAATGGGAATTATGGGCCATCTCTTTTATTTTTAAAGGTATTCTATAAATTGTCATTTGCTTCAATTCACTTCACTTTCCATGCAGGCAAAGCCATTTGCAGTCAAGAATCATAATTACTTGCCTGAATCTGGCAGACTGCTGATTAATTCTTCACTTACTAACAAGAAATGATAAAGCTACATGAAGAACAAAGATTGTTATAATAGTGTCTTTTTGTGAATGCTACCTGACTACTTTGCTCACAGAAATAAAAACTGAGAATAATTGCTTAGTTACACTACTGAAGAATTTTTAAAAGCAAAAAGATGTCCAGCAATTCCACTTCTGGTTATATACCCAAAAGAATTGAAAGCAGGGACTTTAACAGACATTTTTACAACAAAATTTATAGCAGTATTATTCGCAGAAAAAGGTGAAAATATTCTAAATGTCTATCAATGGATAAACAAAGTGTGGTATAAACATGCATTAGAAAATTATTCACCCCTAAAAAGAAATAAAATTCTGATGCATCAAGAGAATAAAAAGATAAGCCACAGACTAGAAAAAATTGCAAAACACACATCTGAAATAACTGGTATATAAAATATACAAAGAATTCTTTATACTCAACAATAGGAAAGCAAACAATTAAATTAGAAAACAAGCAAAATATCTGAACATACACCTCACCAAAGACGATATCTAGATGGCAAATAAGCATATGAGAAGATGTACAACATCCTGTGTCACTAGGGACTTGCAAATTAAAACTGCAATGAGATACCACAGTATACCTACTAGAATGGCAGACATTCAAAACACTGACAACATCAAATACTTCCAAAGACATGGAGCAATAGGCACTGTCATTTACTGCTGGCACAAATGCAAAATGGTACAGCCACTTTGGAAAAAAATTTGACAGTTTCTTACAAAACTAAACACACTCTTACCACACGATCTAACAATCACACTCATTGGTATTTACCCACAAAGTTAAAAACTGACATCCATACAAAAAATCTGCCTAAATGATTATAGCAGCTTTACTCATAATTGCCAAGAGTTGAAAGCAATTAAGATGTCCTTCAAGAGGTGAATGAATAAATAAATTGTGGTACATTCAGACAGTGGAATATTCCTCAGTGATAAAAATATATGAGCTACGAAGCCACAAAGACATGGAAGAAACTTAAAAGCATATTACTATGTGAAATAAGCCAATCTGAAAAGGCTACATACTATAGGATTCCAACTATATGACATTTTTGAATAGTCAGTACTATGGAGACAGTAAAATATTGGTGGTTGCCAAATATTAGTGGAGAAAGAGGAGTGAACAAGTGCAGCGCAGAGAATTTTAGGACAGTGAAACTATTCTGTACAATACTACAATGGTGGCTACATGTCACTATACATTTGTCAAAAGCCATAGGATGCACACCACCGAGAGTGAACCTTAAGGTAAACTATGAACTTTGGGTGATAATGTTGTGTCATTGTAGATGTATCAGTTGTAACAAATGGACTGCTCTGGTGTGGAATGTTCATAGTTGGGGAGGCTCTGGAAGGGGCAAGCAGAGGGAATATGGGAAGTATCTATACTTTCCATTCAGTTTTCTGACACTGAATTTTCTGAAACTGAATGGAAAGTACAGAGATTACTTTGCTTGGCCTGAAGGGAAAGTGAAGTGAATAGAAGCAATTGGCAATTTATAAAATACCTTTAAACACAAAAAAGATGTCCCGTAATTCGCAATTGAAAGGATAAATCCTGGTTTCAAATAAAGGTCTGAAACTTCTTTTTTAAAAATCTATTTAAAAAAAATTGATACATGCTATGACATAGATAAACTTTAAAACATTATGCTAAATGAAATAAACCAGAGACAAAATGACAAATATTATATGATTCTACTCATATGAAATAGCTAAAATAAGCACATTTATCGGGACAGAAAGTAGAATAGTGGTTACTAGTGGTTGGGAGGAGGGGGTAATAGGAAATTGTTTAATGGATACAAAGTTTTGGTTTGGGTTGATGAAAAAGTTCTAGAAGTCAGCATGATAGCAGAAGGGGAGGTCCCCGTCTTTGTCTCGACCCCTCCTCTCCCCCATAAAGAACAACAATTGGACAGCTATCCATGAATAAAATTCACTATAGAAAAGCCAGGAGCCTACTTAAAAAGCTATAGAAACACAGTAAAGCAAAAAAAGAAAAAAAAAACACACAAAACCTTGAGAATAACTGCACAAAAAAATGGTTTTATTTTGCCTACAGCATCCCATTCACTAGGTCAGAACTGCTCAACATGGAAACTCCCCAGCTCTGGAGTTCCCCTCACAGGAAAAAGCACAGTGAGGTGAACAACCAGCTACCCCAGCCTTTCAGGACCCTGCCTAAGTGACCCACCTCAGTTTCACCTCACCCAGATTGCTGGTGAGACCAACATTGTTGAGACATCCGGTGATGACTAGGGACACAAAAAGGTGGGAGTTACCATTATCAGTTAAGCTGCAGGAACCGCCAGGGTCCCAGGGACTTTTTCTGCACAGGACACCAGCAGCCTTTTCCACTGAGGACGTCCAGAGCCCTGGTGGCCACCATGCATGCCCCACAGATTTCACTCCTGAGAACGCTGCACTGTTCACCATCACAAACCCCGGTGGTCTGTTCTGCAGAGGACTCCAGCAGCTTTTGCTGCCTAGGAAAGCAACAGCCAGAAAAGCCACAGGGGACCCCTTTAGCTTTCAACACCAAGGGCCTTGAAGTTTATCACCTTTGCATTATCTAGCTGCCTGAGCTGCTATTCCTCTCCTCCCTTCTCCCTGGAGCCACCCCCAGCCACTACTACTGGGGAATCCCTGGCCTGGATACATAGCACAGCTGCAGTGTACGTGCCCACAAGTAGCCTGGGCCCCTACCACAGGCCCCAGTTCCCATTGCCACATGTGCAGCCGTGTGCACGTGTGCAGCCAGCCTCAACCCCCCTTGCCAGGCCTCACACATCCACGCATGTGCCCATAGCTGGCCCATGTAGCCACATACTTGCTTACTGCCAGTCTCACTGGTTGCCACTGCATGTGCACTTACAGCTGATCCTGCCCCCCATTGCCTGCACTCACCACTGTGCTTGCACCCATGGTGGACCCCTGCAGCCTGACACCTGTCACCAGCCTTCACTGCTGTGAGCAAATCTGCAATTAGCCCTGCAGCCACACACATAGACACCACCAACTCTAACTCCTATAACTGTATGACATACACTGTCAACTCCCAGTAATGAATGTGTCCACAGTTGGCCCCAGCCCCTCCCCTAGCCCTGACACACATGTGACACATGTGTGTCCACAGCTAGCTTCTGTCACTATGCACAAGTCTGCACCCAACTTCTAAAGCCAAGCACATGCATACTGCCAGCCCAAGCCCCCATTCCTGCTGCCTGCTCCCATCCCTTATTGCTGAACCTGGAGAAGCTACTGAGGTCCCCAACAATCCTAGCTGCCACCATGAAACTCCTACAGCTATTGCTGCCTAGGATCACACAGTTGCTAATGTCATGAATCCTAGCTGTCTGAGCTGATGAGACACAAAACATCCCCTCCAAACCTGGAGCCACCACAAGCTCCACACTTGGCACAGCACACTACTAGATCCAGTGCCAGAACAGACTCCAGCATGCCCCACCCCACTCCTTCAAATGAAAGACTTTTCTTAGGGAAGCCAGTCCATAAAATCTGAAAAAGTTGACTGCTTCTTCAAATGTGCAGACACCTACTCAAGGCTATAAGGATCACAAAGAATCAGGTAAACATGGCACAACAAAAGTACACAGTAAACTTCAACTAACTGAGCCCAAAGAAATGGAGATCCACAAACTGCCTATCAAAGAATTTAAAATAATTATTCTAAAAAGCCTGAGTGAGCTACATGATAAAGCAGATAATTTAATGAAATCAGGAAAAATGCAAAAACAAAATTGAAAGTTCAACAAGATAGAAGATATTTTAAAAAAAAAACAAATTTTTGAGCTGAAGAATACAATGACAACTAAAACATGCAATTAAGAAGTTTAACAGCAGACTTAACTGAACGGAAGAAAGAATAAACAAATTCACAGATGCGTTATTTAAAATTATCCAGTCAGAGGAGAAAGAGGAATAAAAAAATTAGAAAAAAGTCCTATATGATTTATGGGACACCATGAAGAGACCTAATATTTCCATTATTAGAGTTTCAGAAGAATAGAGAAAAGCACAATGCTTGTTTAAATAAATGCAGGCAGAATAATTTTCAAATCTGAGGAGATCTATGAATGTCCAGGTATATGAAACTCAAAGATTTCAAATCGATTCAACACAAAGATTTCCTTAAGAATCATTATAATCAAGCAAAATCAAAGACAAATAGAGTTTGAAAACAGCTTTGAAAAGAAATGAAGCGTATTACACACAAGGGAACCTCAATAAGGCTATCAGAAACCTTGAAGACCAAGAGGGAGCAAGATGATATATTCAAAGTGCTGAAAGAAAAAAACTACCAACCAAGAATACTTTCCTTGGCAAAGCTGTCCTTCAGAAATGGGAGAGATAATAATGACTCCCAAACCAACAAAAGGGGAGGGAGTTCATCACCACTAGACTTTCCTTATAAAAAACACTAGAGGGAGTGCTTAAGCAGAAAGAAAAAAATACTAATTAGCAACACAAAAATATATGAAAGTGTAAAACTCACTGGTAAAACTTAGTAAAATTTCTAACTTTACACTTCAAGGAACTAGATGAAAAACAAATTGGGCCCAAATTTAACAAAAGTGAGAAAATAAAAAAGATCAGAGCAGAGATAAATGTAATAGAAATTAGAAAACCACTGGGAAAAATTGGTAAAACTAAGACTTTTTTTTTTTAAAAAGATAAAATTGAGAAACCTTTAGCTAGACAAAAAAAGGAAGACTCAAAATCAGAAATGAAGGAGACATTGCAACTGATACTACAGAAATACAAAAGATGATAAGAGTCTACCATGAACAATTATATAGCAACCAATTGAATAATCTAGAAGAAAAGAAATAAATTCCTAAAAGCATTCAACCTACAAAAAATTATCAGGAAAAAATAGAAAACCTGAATATACCAATAATGAGTAAAGAGATTGAATTATTAATAAAAAATTCCTTAACAAAGAAAAGTCCAGGAACAGATGGCTTCACTGGTGAATTCTACCAAGTACATAAAAAAGAATTGGTACCAACCCTTGTTAAACTCTTCCAAAAACTGAAGATGAGAGAACACTCTGTAACTCATTTTACAAAGCCAGCATTTCCCTGATACCAAGCCAGACAAGAACACTACAAGAAAAGAAAATTACTTTTCAAGCTAGTATCCCTGATTAACATAAATGCAAAAATCCTCAACAAAACACTAGCAAACCAGATTCAACAGCATATTAAAAAGATCATACACCATGATCAAGTGGGATTTGTTCCTGGATTAGAAGAAAGATCTCAACAAATTATGTAAAGAGCAAATGTACCTCAATATAATAACAGCCATATATGACAAGCCCACAGCTAACATTATATTTGATGGTGAAAAGCTAAAAGTTTTTCCTTTAAGTTTAAGAACAAAACAAGGTTGTCCATAGTCACCATTCCTACTTTACATAGTGTGGAAGCCCTAGCAAGAGCAATTAGGCAAGAGAAAGTAATAAAAATATCCACATCAGAAAGGAAGCAGTTAAATGTTCTCTATTTGCAAATAACTTAGTCTTACGTAAAAAAAAATCTTAAGGACTCCATCAGAAAACTCTTAGAACTAGTAGGCAAATTAAGTAAAGTTGGAGGACACAAAAATCAACATATAAAAAGCAGTTGTACTTTTATATACTAACACCCAACTGTCCAACCATGAAATCAAGAAAGCAATCCCATTTACAATAGCATCAAAAAGACTGGATTACTTAGGAGCAAACTTAACCAAAGAGGTGAAGGATTTCTACACTGAAAACTACAAAACATTGATCAAAGAAATTGAAGAAAACACAAATAAATAAAAAGATGTACTATATTCATATATTGAAAGAATCAATATTGTTAAAATGCTCCTACTACCCAAAGTAATCTATAGATTCAATGCAGTCCTTATCAAAATTCCAATGACTTTTTTTATAGTATTGGAAAAAAATTCTAAAATTTGTATTGAACCATGAAAGACCCCAAATAGCAAAAGCAATCTTGAGCAAGAAGAACAAAGCTGTAAACATCACACTTCTTGATTTTAAACCATATTATAAAGCTATAATAATCAAAAAAAGTGTGGTACTTGGATTAAAAACAGACACATAGACCAATAAAACAGAATAGAAAACCCATAAATAAACCCAAGCATAGACAGTCAACTAATTTTTGACAAAGACACCAAAAATACACTATGGGGGAAAGAACAGTTTCTTGAATAAATAATGTGAGGAAACTTGAAAAGCCACAGTTTAAAACAAAAGAAAAGAAAGAATCTGGGCCAGGCATGGTGGCTCATGCCTGTAATCCCAGCACTTTGGGAGGCTGAGGTGGCCAGATCCCCTGAGGTCAGGAGTTTGAGACCAGCCTGACCAACATGGAGAAACCCCATCTCTACTAAAAATACAAAATTAGCTGGGTGAGGTGGTGCATACCTGTAGCCCTAGCTACTTGGGAGGCTGAGGCAGGAGAATTGCTTGAATCCAGGAGGCAGAGGTTGTGGTGAGCTGAGATCACCCCATTGCACTCCAACCTGGGCAACAGGAGTGAGACTCGAAAGAAAGAAAGAAAGAAAGAAAGAAAGAAAGAAAGAAAGAAAGAAAGAAAGAAAGAAAGAAAGAAAGAAAGAAAGAGAGAGAGAGAGAGAGAGAGAGAGAGAGAGAGAGAGAGAGAGAGAGAGAAAGAAAGAAAGAAAGAAAGAAAGAAAGAAAGAAAGAAAGAAAGAAAGGGAAAGGAAAGGAAAGGAAAGGAAAGAAAGAAAGAAAGGAAAGGAAGACCTACAGCACACACAAAAAGGGGTTCAAAATGGATTAATAACTTAAATGTAAGAGCTTAAACTATAAAACTCCTTGACAAAGCATAGAGGGAAACTACTTGTATTTGGCCTTGGCAATGGTCTTTTCAATTTGACACCAAAAGCATGAGCAAAAAAAAGCAAAAATAAACAAGTAGGACTATATGAAAATAAAAGCCTTCTGTCCAGCAAAGGAAACAACAAAATGAAAAGACATCCTATGAATAAGAGAAATATTTGTAAACCATATATGTGGTAAAGGGGTGACACCCAAATATATAAGAAACTCATACAACTTATTATCAAAAAACAAAAACATTTTCAGTCCTATATTCATTGCAGCATTATTCACAAGAGCTAAGATATGGAAATTAAATTCAGCCTTTAAAAAGAAGAAAATCCTGCCACTTGTGACAATATGGATTAACCTGGAGAACATTAAGCTAAGTGAAACAAACCAGACATAAGATAACAAATACTGTATTATCTCACCTATATGTGCAATCTAAAAAAAAAAATAGTCTAACTCATAATAACAGAGTAAAATGATGGTTACCTGGAGGTGAGAAAAAAAAGCAAAGATATTAGTCAAAGTGTACAAACCTTCATTTATAAAATAAATAAGAACTAGAGACCTAATGTACAGCATGGTGATTATAGTTAATAGTAATGTGTTGGATTCTTGAAATTTTCCAAGACAGATCTCAAGTGTTCTCACTACACACACACACACACACAAATGGTAACTATGTGAGATAATGGATATCTTAATTAGCTTAATCATAGTAATCATTTCACAGATGTATAGATAAATGAAAAAAATCATGCTTTAAGCCCTAAATATATACAATTTTTTTGTCAATCATGTGTCAACTAAATGGGGGGGAAGTTCCAGTGATGAATGTTGGTGACGGTTGTACAATAATGTGAAAGCACTTACTACAACTGAGTTGTAATTTAAATAGGTTAAAATGGTAAAGTTTATGTTATATATATTTACCACAATTTTTTAAACAAGCAAGTATGAGAAAATCTTTGTTTCATATTTTTAGATTTATCTGTTTCCAGTGAAATCACCTCATAACTAAGTTGAACAATGCAAATGGTCCTGATACACCAGTATTTTCATTGTATCTGACTTAAGATTTGGAAAATAACTGGACTTTCTCTTTTTCTTAGACTCTCCTTATTCAAAGATGTAAAATTCTACATAAAATGTCTTCCAGGTTTTCCATTCCAAAATGGCCAAATAGGAACAGCTCCAGTCTGCAGCTCCCAGCATGATTGATGCAGAAGATGGTGATTTCTGCATTTCCAACTGAGGTACCTAGTTCATCTCATTGGGACTGGTTGGACAGTGGGTGCACCCCATGGAGAGTGAGCTGAAGCAGGGTGGGGCTTCACCTCACCAGGAAGCACAAGGGGTCAGGGGATTTCCCTTTCCTAGCCAAAAGAAGCCGTTACAGACTGTACCTGGAAAATCTGGACACTCCCGCCTAAATACTGTGCTCTTCCAATGGTCTTAGCGAACCGCACACCAGGAGATTATATCCCGCACCTGGCTCGGCACGTCCCATGCCCACGGAACCTTGCTCACTGCTAGCGCAGCAGTCTCAGATCGACATGCAGGGCAGCAGCCTGGCAGGGGGAGGGGTGTCCACCATTGCTGAGGCTTGAGTAGGTAAACAAAGCGGCTGGGAAAGCTCGAATTGGGCAGAGCCCACCACAGCTCAACTAGGCCCACCTGCCTTTGTAGACTCCACCTCTGGGGGCAGGGCATAGCTGAACAAAAGGCAGCAGAAACTTCTGCAGACTTAAACGTCCCTGTCTGACAGCTCTGAAGAGAGCAGTGGTTCTCCCGGCATGGTGTTTGAGCTCTGAGAATGGACAGACTGCCTCCTCAAGTGGTCCCTGACCCCCGTGTAGCCTAACTCTGAGACACCATTCAGTAGGGGCTGACTGACAGCTCATACAGGCAGGTGCCCTTCAGGGATGAAGCTTCCAGGGGAAGGATCAAGCAGCAACATGTGCTGTTCTGCAGCCTCTGTTGGTGATACCCAGGCAAATAGGGTCTGGAGTGGACCTCCAGCAACCTCCAACAGATCTGCAGCTGAGGGACCTGACTGATAGAAGGAAAACTAACAAACAGAAAGGAAAAGCATCAACATCAACAAAAAGAACATCCACACCAAAACCCCAACTGTAGGTCACCAGCATCAAAGACCAAAGGTAGAAAAAAAAACACAAGATGGGGAGAAACCAAAGCAGAAAGCTGAAAATTCTAAAAACCAGAGCACCTCTTCTTCTCCAAAGGATCGCAGCTCCTCACCAGCAACAGAACAAAGCTGAATGGAGAATCATTTTGATGAGCTGACAGAAGTAGGCTTCAGAAGGTCAATAATAACAAACTTCCCTGAGCTAAAGGAGGATGTTCGAACCCATTGCAAAGAAACTAAAAACCTTGAAAAAAGATTAGACGAATGGCTAACTAGAATAAACAGTGTAGAGAAGACCTTAAATGACCTGATGGAGCTGAAAACTGTGGCGTGAGAACTATGTGATGCATGCATAAGCTGCAATAGCCAATTGGATCAAGTGGAAGAAAGGATATCAGTGATTGAAGATCAAATTAATGAAATAAAGCGAGAGGAGAAGTTTAGAGAAAAAAGAGTAAAAAGGAATGAACAAAGCAAGAAATATGGGGCTATGTGAAAAGATCAAATCTACATTTGATTGGTGTACCTGAAAGTGACGGGGAGAATGGAACCAAGTTGGAAAACACTCTTCAGGATACTATCCAGGAGAACTTCCCCAACCTAGCAAGGCAGGCCAACATTCAAATTCAGGAAATACAGAGAATACCACAAAGATACTCCTCGAGAAGAGCAACCCCAAGACACGTAATTTTCAGATTCACCAAGGTTGAAATGAAGGAAAAAATGTTAAGGGCAGCCAGAGAGAAAGGTCAGGTTACCCACAAAGGGAAGTCCATCAGACTAACAGCGGATCTCTCAGCAGAAACCCTACAATTAGAAGAGAGTGGGGGCCAATATTCAACATTCTTAAAGAAAAGAATTTTCAACCCAGAATTTCATATCCAGCCAAACTAAGATTCATAAGTGAAGGAGAAATAAAATCCTTTACTGACAAGCAAATGCTGAGAGATTTTGTCACCACCAGGCCTGCCTTACAAGAGCTCCTGAAGGAAGCACTAAACATGGAAAGGAACAACCAGTACCACCCACTGCAAAAACATGCCAAATTGTAAAGACCATTTATGCTAGGAAGAAACTGCATCAACTAATGGGCAAAATAGAGGAAGATCTACCAAGCAAATGGAAAGCAAAAAAAAGCAGGGGTTGAAATCCTACACTCTGATAAAACAGACTTTAAACCAACAAAGATCAAAAGAGACAAAGAAGGCCATTACATAATGGTAAAGGGATCAATTCAACAAGAAGAGCTAACTATCCTAAATATATATGCACCCAATATAGGAGGACCCAGATTCATAAAGCAAGTCCTTAGAGACCTACAAAGAGACTTAGACTCCCACACAATAATAATGGGAGACTTTAACACCCCACTGTCAATATTAGACAGATCAACGAGACAGAAGTGTAACAAGGATATCCAGGACTTGAACTCAGCTCTGCACCAAGCAGATCTAATAGACATCTACAGAACTCTCCACCCCAAATCAACAGAATACACATTATTCTCAGCACCACATCGCACTTATTCCAAAACTGACCACATAGTTGGAAGTAAAGTACTCCTCAGCAAATGTAAAAGAACACAAATCACAACTAACTGTCTCTCAGACCACAGTGCAATCAACTTAGTACTCAGGATTAAGAAACTTGCTCAAAACCACACAAGTACATGGAAACTGAAAAACCTGCTCCTGTACGACTACTGGGTAAATAAGGAAATGAAGGCAGAAATAAAGATGTTCTTTGAAACGAATGAGAACAAAGACACAATGTACCAGAATCTCTGGGACACATTTAAAGCAGTATGTAGAGGGAAATTTATAGCACTAAATGCCCACAAGAGAAAGCAGGAAAGATATAAAATAGACACCCTAACGTCACAATGAAAAGAACTAGAGAAGCAAGAGCAAACAAATTCCAAAGCTAGCAGAAGGCAAGAAATAACCAAGATCAGAGCAGAACTGAAGGAGATAGAGACACAAAAAAATCTTCAAAAAATCAGTGAATCCAGGAGCTGGTTTTTTGAAAAGATCAACAAAATTGATAGACCACTAGCAAGACTAATAAAGAAGAGAAGAGAGAAGAATCAAATAGATGCAATAAAAAATGATAAAGGGGATATCACCACTGATCCCACAGGAATACAAACTAACATCAGAGAATACTATAAACACCTCTATGGAAATAAAATAGAAAATCTAGAAGAAATGGAATGATTCCTGGACACCTACCCCCTCCTAAGACTAAACCAGGAAGAAGTTGAATCTCTGAATAGACCAATAACAGGCTCTGAAATTGAGGCAATAGTTAATAGCCTACCAACTAAAAAAAGTCCAGAACCAGAAATATTCACAGCCAAATTCTACCAGAGTTACAAAGAGGAGCTGGTACCATTCCTTCTGAAACTCTTCCAATCAATAGAAAAAGAGGAAATCCTCCCTAACTCATTTTATCAGGCCAGCATCATCCTGATACCAAAGCCTGGCAGAGACACAACAAAAAAAGAGAATTTTAGACCAATATCCCTGATGAACATCGATGCAAAAATCCTCAATAAAATACTGGCAAATCGAATCCAGCAGCACATCAAAACGCTTATCCACCATGATCAAGTCAGCTTCATCCCTGGGATGCAAGGCTGGTTTAACTTATGCAAATCAATAAACATAATCCATCACATAAACAGAACCAATGACAAAAACCACATGATTATCTCAATAGATGCAGAAAAGGCCTTTGACGAAATTCTACAGCCCTTCATTCTAAAAACTCTCAATAAACTAGGTATTGGTGGAATGTATCTCAAAATAATAAGAGTTATTTACGACAAACCCACAGCCAATATCATACTGAATGGGCAAAAACTGCAAGCATTCCCTTTGAAAACTGGCACAAGACTGGGAGGCCCACTCTCACCACTCCTATTCAACATAGTGTGGAAGTTCTGGCCAGGGCAATCAGGCAAGAGAAAGAAACAAAGGGTATTCAATCAGGAAAAGAGGAAGTCAAACTGTCCCTGTTTGCAGATGACATGACTGTATATTTAGAAAACCCCATCATCTCAGCCCCAAATCTCCTTGAGCTGATAAGCAACTTCAGCAAAGTCTCAGGATAAAAAATCAATGTGCAAAAATCACAAGTATACCTATATACCAATGACAGACAAATGGAGAGCCAAATCATGAGTAAACACCCATTCATAATTGCTACAAAGAGAATAAAATACCTAGGAATCCAACTTACAAGGGATGTGAATGATCTCTTTAAAGAGAACTACAAACCACTGCTCAAAGAGGATGCAAACAAATGGAAGGACATTCCATGCTCACGGTTAGGAAGAATCAATATCGTGAAAATGGCCACACTGCCCAAGGTAATTTATACATTCAATGCCATCCCCATCAAGCTGCCAATGACTTTCTTCACAGAATTGGAAAAAACTACTTTAAAGTTCATATGGAACCAAAAAAGAGCCCACATTGCCAAGGCAATCCTAAGCCAAAAGAGCAAAGCTGGAGACATCATGCTACCTGACTTCAAACTATACCACAAGGCTACAGTAAACAAAACAGCATCGTACTGGTACCAAAACAGAGAGATAAACCAATGGAACAGAACACAGGTCTCAGAAATAACACCACACGTCTACAACCATCTGATCTTTGACAAACCTGACAAAAACAAGAAATGCGGAAAGGATTCCCTATTTAATAAATGGTGCTGGGAAAACTGGCTAGCTATATGTAGAAAGCTGAAATTGGATCCCTTCCTTACACCTTATACAAAAATTAATTCAAGATGGATTAAAGACTTAAATGTTTGACCTAAAACCATAAAAACCCTAGAAGAAAGCCTAGGCAATACCATTCAGGACATAGGCATGGGCAAGGACTTCATGACTAAAACACCAAAAGCAATGGCAACAAAAGCCAAAATAGACAAATGGGATCTAATAAAACTAAAGAGCTTCTGCACAGCAAAAGAAACGACCATCATAGTGAACAGGCAACCTATAGAATGGGAGAAAATTTTTGCAATCTACCCATCTGACAAAGGGCTAATATCCAGAATCTACAAAGAACTTAAACTAATTTACAAGAAAAAAAAAACAACCCTATCAAAAAGTGGGCAAAGGATATGAACAGACACTTCTCAAAAGAAGACATTTATGCATCCAACAGACACATGAAAAAATGCTCATCATCACTGGTCATCAGAGAAATACAAATCAAAACCACAATGAGATACCATCTCACTCCAGTTAGAATGGCCATCATTAAAAAATGAGGAATCAACAGATGCTAGAGAGGATGTGGAGAAAGAGGAACACTTTTACACTGTTGGTGGGAATGTAAACTAGTTCAACCATTGTGGAAGACAGCGTGGTGATTCTTCAAGGATCTAGAACTAGAAATACCATTTGACCCAGCGATCCCATTACTGGGTATATATATACCCAAAGGATTATAAATTATGCTACTATAAAGACACATGCACATGTATGTTTATTGCAGCACTATTCACAATAGCAAAAACTTGGAACCAACATATATGTCCATCAATGATAGACTGGATTAAGAAAATGTGGCATATATACACCATGGAATACTAGTCAGCCATAAAAAAGGATAAGTTCATGTCCTTTGCAGGGACATGGATGAAGCTGGAAACCATCACTCCGAGCAAACTATCACAAGGACAGAAAACCAAACACCACATGTTCTCACTCATAGGTGGGAACCGAACAATTTGAACACTTGGACACAGGGCAGGGAACATCACACCTGGGGGCCTGTCATGGAGTTGGGGACAGGAGGAGGGATTGCATTAGGAGAAGTACCTAATGTAAATGATGAGTTAATGGGTGCAGCAAAGCAACATGGCACATGTATACCTATGTAACGAACCTGCACGTTGTGCACATGTACCTTAGAACTTAAAGTATAATTTTAAAAAATTTAATAAAATAATACCTTGAAACAACAACAACAACAAAAAAAAATCCTGTATTATTGAGAGTATGAGAAAAAGGACCCTCTCCATATACTATCGGTGAGATCATTAAAATGTTTCACTTTTTGGGAATTAAATTAAATTTTAATTGTAATTTATTAAATTACATATTTAAAATATGTAAACTCTTTAATCCAGAAATTATACTTCTAAGTATCTTACAGAATTACATACCCATGCAAAAATATATAAAAGGATTTTTATTACTATATAATTTGTGATCAGGAAAAGTTGGAAAATAACCACCCTGAGGTCATGTATCAGAAAACTGAGGGCAGTCTACAATCAGGAATCAGCTGACGCTATTCCAACTAGCTAGTGCTCCACCTGCTTAGCCGCCTTACCCTGCCTCATCCATTCCTTCCCTCGAAAACCACAGTTCCCCTGTCCTCTGCCTGTGACCAACCTCGGTGTTCTCTCCCGCAGCTGTGCAGTGTGACCCCTCCTCTTGGGCACGAGCAGAAATAAACTTTTAAATAGCAATTGTCCGCCAATCTGTGGCTTCATCATACCTGAATAAAAATAGAATCTACATTTTTAAAAAAATCCAGGAAACATTATTAAAAATCTATCAGCACTAACAAGACAATACAATAAGATGGCAGATACAAGATAACTATGTAAATATCAACAGCTCCCAGCACTTTGGAAGGCCGAGGTGGGCGGATCACGAGGTTAGGAGATCGAGACCATCCTGGCTAACACAGTGAAACCCCATCTCTACTAAAAATACAAAAACAATTAGCTGGGCGTGGTGGTGGGCACCGGTAGTCCCAGCTACTCGGGAGGCTGAGGCAGGAGAATGGCGTGAACCCCGGAGGTGGAGCTTGCAGTGAGCCGAGATGGCGCCACGGCACTCCAGCCTGGGTGACAGAGCGAGACTTCGCCTCAAAAATAAATAAAATAAATAAATAAATAAATACCAACAGCTTTCCTTTTACAAAGAAATTCAAAATTGAAATTTAAAAATCTCAAAAAAAAAAATGTCTTCCATCACTGGACAGCTCTTTTCTCATGCTTCATAGTTTAAAGGTAGAAAATTCAATACAGATCATACTGTGCGACACAATTCAAGTTGGTCCTGAAAGGACTGAGTTCACAGTAGTATTTATAAGACTTAGGATAAAGTTATAGAGGAGTTCTCACTTACCCACAGTTTCTCCTTCTGAAGTTTCAATTACTCTTGGTCAACAACTGCTATAGTTTGAATATGGCTTGTCCTCACCAAAACTCACATGGAGGCTTGGTCTTCAATGTAATAATGTTGAAAGGTGGTGGGATCCATAAGAGGCATTTAAATCGAGGACTCTTCCCTCATAAAAGGCTTGATATCAGTAGGAGTGAATTATTGTTTTCGTGGAACTGGATTAGGTACCTCAAGAGCGCGTTCTTATACAACATGGTGGCCACTCTCACTTTGTCCCTTTTGCACACACCCTCTAGCTGCTCTTGCATGCTCTCCCACCATGCGATGCCACCCACCATGCTACGTTGCAACACAAAGTCCTCACCAGATGTGGTCACATGATCATTAACCTCCCAGTCTCCAGAATCATGAGCTAAACAAATCACTTTTCTTTATAAATTACCCAATCTCAATTGTTCTGTCATAGCTACAGAAAATGGAATGACAGCCATGGTCTGAAAATATTAAATGGAAATCTGCAAAAATAAACTATTCCTAAGTTTTAAATTGTGCACTGTTCTGAGTACCATGATGAAGCCTCACACAGTCCCATCTGTTCTGCCTGGGATGTGAATCATCCCTTTGCCCAGCAGATTCATGATGTATATACTACCTGCTCATTAGGCACTTAGTAGCTATCTCAGTTATCAGATTGACTGGTATGATATCAGGGTGCTTGTGTTCAAGGAATTCATATTTTAATTAATAAGAGCCCCAAGTGCAAGAGAAATGATGCCTGCATATTGTTGTAATGTTTATATTTTATTATCAGTTGTTGTTCATCTCTTACTGTGCCTAATTTATAAGTTAAACATTATCATATGTATGCATGTATAGGAAAAATTGTAGTACATATAAGCATGATATGTACATGATACACTGAGAATAGAGAGCACACATTATTTACCACTATTTATTATGTTTTTATTGTATGACAGGCACTGTGCTAAACATTTCATAAACATCACATTTAATCTTGACAATGATTCTATTAGGTAAATATTGCTATGAGTTTTCTCCAGACAAATAAACTGAAGCTAAAGAACGTTAAGCAATTTGCCCGACATCAGTAGCTAGTGGCAGAGTGAAGATTAGAACCAGGGTCTAATGCGAAAGTCGTATTCAGAATTACTGGATTTTTAAATATCTTCATTGTGGTTCATATCACACCATATTATAACTTCGTGTATGTGTATTTTAGTTTTAAACTTAATATACATGGTAATGAACAAAAAAATGATTTTCTCAAATTTTAAGCCTTACATGATCCTTCTCTTGCCTGAAATTAGGCTGTCCAATGCATACATTTTTTTGTATCCTGCCTGGATCACCCTAATTTGCCCTCCTTTGTTGGGGGGAAGAGGGATATATGTATATTTATGAACCCAGAGACAGAAATAAATGAACAGAAAAAGCTGGTGGTTCTGATTCTTTGCCATAAAACTCCAGGAGTTCAGTGAACTAAACTATGAAATTCTCTGTCTCTCTAACCAAGTGTCACACTTTGCCTGAAAATCACTAAAGATGTGGTTACAACTAGCTGTGTTCCTGTTATAAATAATGAGCCGATATTGATGTGTTATCATCAACTAATGTACATAGTTAACATTAGAGTTTACTCTTTGTGCTGTATATTCTATGGATTTTGACAAACGTATAATGATATATATTCACCATTACAGAATACTACAGACTACTAGTTTCACTGACCTAAATATCCCCTGTGCTACACCTATTCATCCCTCCTTCCTTCCGCTTGAGCTCCTGGCAACCACTTATCTTTTTAGTGTCTCCATAGTTTTGCCTTTTTCAGAACATCATATAGTTGAAATCATACAACACATTGCTTTTTCAGATTGGCTTCTTTCACTTAGTAAAATGCATTTAAGTTTTCTCTATGTATGTCATGATTTGAAAGCTTATTCTTTTTTATCACTGAATAATATTTGATAGTCTGCATGTACCACCATTTATTTATTCATTCACCTGTTAAAGGACATCTTGGTTGCTTCCAGGTTTTAGTAACTATGAATAAAGCTGCTATAAACATTCATGTGCAGGTTTTTGTGTGGACATAAGATTTTAACTCCTTTGGGTAAATACCAAGGAGCATATTGCTGGATCATATGGTAAGAGTGTGTTTAGTTCTACAAGAAACTGCTAAATAGTCTTCCAAAGTGGCTGTACCATTTTGCACTTCTACCAGCAATGAATGAAAGTGCCTATTACTCCACATCCTTAGCAGAATTTAGTGTTGTCAGTATTTTGGATATCTGCCATTCTAATAGTTATATAGTGGCATCTCGTTGTTGTTTTAATTTAAATCCCTACTGACATATGATACTGAGCATTTTCTCATTTGCCATTTGATATCTTCTTTGATTGTCTGTTGAGATATTTTGCTTATTTTTAATTGGGTTGTTTGCTTTCTTACCTTTGAGTTTTAAGAATTCTTTGCATATTTTGAATACCAGTTCTTCTAGATGTGTATTTTTCAAAGGTTTTCCCCCAGTCTGTGGCTTGCTTTATTCTCTTAACATTATCTATGTAAAGCAGTTTTTAATTTAAAAAATCTAGTATACTAATTTCTTCTTTAATGGATTGTGTTTTTCATGCAGTATCTAAGAATTCATGGCCAAACCGTAGTTAATCTACCTGTTTTTCTGCTGTCTGCTGGGAGTTTTATAGTTTGGTGTTTGGCACTTCATTAAAAAAAATAGTGTTTTCTACTATATTTGTCGTGATATCCAAAAATTCCCCACAAAAAATAAAAAGTCTTTTCTGACTAGTTATTTTCTACTTCTTCTATGGATTTAAATCGTTTTAGTCTACTAGCTTATAAAAATGAGTATTTTCCCTTGAAACAATTTTTATGTGCTTTTGGCTAAATGCATAGTTTACAAATAGACTGCAGATGAGCTAAAGATAAAGAGAACTGTTATCTTCATAATAATAATAGAAGTGCTTCCTGGTAAAATTTGCCCTGTAATCGTAGTCATCTTTAGAATGACTAAGGGATTGATTCTATCAAGAAGCCTATAATTGCTCAGGTCTCATCTTCAAGGTTAGGACAGACCACTAGGTTGGGTAGAAGAATATAGAGTAGTAAAGTGGAGGGGGTTTTTAAATGTTGTTTTAAACTCCCATATTTTGAAACATTTGCAAATAAATCAATTTTTAAATATAAAACAAACAAATAAAATTACAAAATTTAAATACATCAAAATGATAGAAAAAGAAAACTACTAAATACGTTAAAAATAGGTTGAATACAATGAAACTCACACCTGTACTTCATTCCATTGTCATCAGCCAGTCAAGGAAAGATACTGTGAGATCTTATGAAGCCAGCCAAAAAGAACTGCGGTTTTATTCATCAACTCTGGGCAGTGAAGCCTTTCAAGTACTGATAGGATCTGTAGCTACTGACTACATCAAATATTTTTTATCATCAGTTAACACACTGCAGAAATAATGATACCTACTTTGCATTTTCCCTATGTGTAACTTAACACAAGGTCATGAAAACTATACAACTTTGCATTTTGGAAACCAGGGTACATGTCAACAAGGGCAGGATTTCTTTTGCAGAAAACAACTAAGTTCCCTTTGCTGTTTTCATTTTGATAGGTTTTTTTCCTGAGTCCTTGCTGGAATAAAAACGATCATTTTTTTACAGTATTAGATTGGAATGAGTGGTTATATTTTTCAGAAATTTCATTGATATTTCTTACTACATTTCTTTATTTTGCTGTTTATTATGTGATGATAGTGGTTAATATTTATCAAGGGCTATATAATACCAAGCACTGTGCTATGCAATTTGCATTGATCATCTTGTTAATTTTCATACTAACTGATAAGACAGCTTTATTTTTATTCCCATTCTACACATGAAGGAAGACTCTACACATGAGTCTTGGACTTTAATGATTTGCCTGGAGTAACACAGGCAAATTCAAACCCAGGCCCTCTGGCTTCAAACCCCATGCCTTACGCTGTCTCATTGCAATATTTTCTTATGAGTGTTATGAAATTGAAACTGAAACTCAGTGATTATCACCAATATCTCCAAATTTCTAACCGGTTTCTTGCTTTCAGGGTTGTTCCTCTCAAGTTTATCCCATGCACAGCTACCACTGCGGTTTATCGAAAATGAAACCTACTCATGTCATTTCCTGCCTCACACATTTCGAGGCTTCTCCATGTTCTACAGAATAAGATCTAAGATCCTTAGCACAGCATCCAAGAGCCTCTCTGTGCAGGCCCCTGCTTCACATCCCTCAGTTCCCCCTTCCCACATTTACATTGTCACCATAGGGAACATCTTGTGCCTCCTCACACACACTCCACAGTCTTTTACCTTGTTTCTGAATCACACAAGCTATTGTTTTCTGCATGCATGGTTCTTCCCCACACTACACCAAAGCCTCTTTCCATCAGGGAAACATTTCCTATTTGTCTCCAAGAATCCTTCTCTTACCAAACATTCCCTTGCCCTCTACACTTCATTGGTTGATGCTTTCCCCTCTGCACTAGCAGAATATCCCCTAGAATTTTATTTATGACACTATATTACAGTAATAATACTAATGTCAGCATCTCCCACTAGACTATGGGTTCTTCAAAGGCAGGATAGACCTCACTCACTTTTAACTATGTATAGATCTTGGATGATGAAGAAAGAAGGCCAGTGCTGAGAGCTAGGAGAATGATCGAGTTATTAGCCCTACCTTTGGATGGTTCTCCATTACCATGTATCACTTTAGGTGCTTTTGGTTTGCTACCAAGAAAACCAAGGAGTAGAAAGAGGGAAGCGCAGTGGCTCCACTTCTCACCTGAGCCTAGTTTGAGGTCTGCAATTCCTGAGACATTACCAAGGTTCTTTTGTGTTTTCAGCTCCTGAACAGTTTGCTGTAGGTGGGACAGATCCTAAAAGAATCGTGTTAAGTGTATTAATGTTCCATCTAGTCTCAAAATAGAACCAGGAGTTAGGAAACATGTTGATCGAGGCAGTGAATCAGTGTTACTAAAAACCTTCAATTGCATCATGACTTTTTAAGAAAAATGTGAATTGAAAATGCCCATGTTTTATTTCACACCCATGGCTTTGCTCATAGTTGCCAAGACATAGATCTCAATACAACAGGCTTCCTGTTTCAATTCGAAGTAGTCTGGTAAAGAACAAAACAGTCATGTCTTGTAAGATACAGAATTATTTCTCCCTCCAATTATTTTTACAATGAAGTGTGATCTAATGCCACTGTCTCCCCTTTTGCAGACCTCACACTGTTCATTTATTTTTTGGTCTCACTAAGTCACTTGCTTCAGTGTGTCAGTTTCCTCAGGTAGAAGGCTGCCCATAATAGAACTGTTGTGGTTACTTAAAAGACAGGAAAGCAATTTTTAAAATAAAACCCTGCTGTTTTAAGCTCTTTGTAGATGTTGAGGCCAAATTATGCCTATTGACATTAACCTACCTGACTTCAATTTCAATTCATTCATTCAACAAGCAAGTATGGAATTTATGATATTACTTTAAAATGCATTGAAAGGTTTGTTGCCAAGGAACCTGCTAAATAACCTTCTAAGCTTGTTAACATGAGTAACTCCTGATTTATGTTAAATAAAAGTAATTCTTAGAACTGAAGTGTTTACTTATCTTCTTCTTTATCTGTCAAGAAATAAAAAAAATCAACCTTCAAGAGGGGGAAAAATCACAAAGTGTAAAATAATAGAAAGGGCAATAGGACCACACAATCTCAGCCATCCTCAAGATCTGAAGTCTGAAGCCTCACACCCAGATCTTCCCTGATCTCATGCCAAAGATCTAATGTATAAGCAAAAGAGGGCTAGATTGTTTAGTAAGCATTTCTATTTTGTTACAGGAAGTTCCAGATGTGAAACATCCATGGAAAAAAGAATTTAATAGCCCGGTATTTAAGTATATTCTGAGTATATTGATTTTAAAATGAACTGCTCTTTTAGATTATACGCCTCTATATATCTCATTCATGGAATAAGAAAAATTGTTACATCATTTTCCAAGAGATCAAGTATTTCAAAACCATGGGTGTATAAATGCAGTTTTGATCACATTTACACACAAATTCACACACACACACACACATACACAAACATAATTTCAAGTTAAGATACTACAACCATTCTCCACTGCCATCAATTTTGAATTATTTTTTCCTAAATGCAATGTTCTCCAGCTAATTTTTAAAATCATTTCAGCTGTAAAGTGGGGATAGTAGTATTGCCTCCTTCATAAGACTGTTATGAGAATTAAATGAGCAAATATATGAAAAGCATTTATAATATTGCAGCACATAGCAAGTATCATTTAAGAGTTAGCTATTATGGCCTGGTGGGGCGGCTCATGCCTGTAATCCCAGCACTTTGGGAGGCCAAGGTAGGCAGATCACCTGAGGTCAGGAGTTCAAGACCAGCCTGATCAACATGGTGAAACTCTGTCTCTACTAAAAATAAAAAATTAGCTGGGCGTGGTGTTGCACACCTGTAATCCCAACTACTCGGGGGGCTGAGGCAGGAGAATTGCCTGAACCCTGATGTTGGAGGTTGCAGTGAGCTGAGATCATGCCATTGCACTCCAGCCTGGGCAACAGAGCGAGATTCCATTTAAAAAAAAAAAAAGAGAGAGAGAGTTAGCAATTACTATGTATCCAAAAGCTATGATATTTTTAGAAATGAAACATTTCCTCCAATTTACATCCACAATTCAGATGACATGAAAGCCTAGGCTGTAGGAAACCAAAACAACCTTACAAGCAACGATAACAAACAGAAGTACAAGTAAGTACAAGTAGTATAGAAAAGAAGTTCATCTCCATAAAATGATGATTATGTAAGAAGGTTAGAGTTGTCTGTGTTGAATTTTTCACGTGTGTGAGGAGTAATCTTACTTTTGGTAGTAGCAAAAATCTGTTTTGTGTTGCTTTGCAAATGAAGATGTGTATTAGGAAGATGGTATTCTGAAGCCATAGTGACATGGATTCAATTAGGCCAGTTGCAGGCCTGTAAAGGGACTGGAGGATGAGGAATGGACACAGAGCTGATAAAGCATAAAGCAAGCCAAAGGGAGAAGAACTGAAAATAGTTAGCTGAGCAGAGATGTGTAGTGGTGATGTCGTGGAAGGGGAATAGCAAATTATCAAAAAGGAGAAAAAGGAAATAGACTAAAAACTGAAGGATAGAGGAAGAACAGAACCTGCGGATGACAAGTAGAAGGAAGGATGGAGACATGGAAAGTGTAAGAGTGGGATCTAAATTCACACAGGCTAAGAACAGGCTTTACCTTGGAGGCAGAATAAAGAGGAGAACAGAAGGGATTATTTAAATCATATCTGAGCAGTCCTGGTACCCCCAATGGAGTCATTCCAAGATTTTCAGCATGATAAAATTGCCTGAACTATATAAAACTTGAACATATAAAACTCTTCTAATAGTATCTATTTTATGCCATAACACTCACACATAACAACAAAATATAATTGTACATCAAAATCATCTTTGCACCTTATTTAATGGAAGCTGGCCGAAACAGAGTCCAGCAGTGCACCTAGGACAGAAGGGGGCTGTAATGCAAGGTGATGTCTCAAGCCAGAGAAAGGCAGAGAAGAATCAGGAGCAAGCCGTTATGGCGAAGGAGTGAGGACACAGCCTGTACCCTGAAAGCAATGCTAAACTAAGAAACAAACAGATGTTGAGATGGATGTATAGCAAGTATTCATAGAATTTATGTCAGGGTGGTAGGATCAATCTTTATTTTTATTTTGCTAAAATGCATTGTATTTTCTAAGGTTTTTGGTGAGCATGTTAGATTTTTATAATTTAAAAAAAGCGTTTTCCAAAAACAATGAAACCAAATAAACTAAAATAACCAAACTCAGAGGCCACTTGAAAGCAGCTGAGAATGCTGCTCCCTGGGATACACTTGTACTGCTCTGCTCACACACTGTAGCTCCTGCCCCCACACACTGTAAAAGTGCTGCCCATCATTTGACCATTGTCTTTTTTTTAAATATGTATATATATGCTTTATATATATTTAATATTTAATATATATTATATATTAAATATATATATAAAGCATATATATATATATATATATACACACACACTTTAAGTTCTAGGGTACATGTGCACAACATGCAGGTTTGTTACATGGGTATACATGTGCCATGTTGGTTTGCTGCACCCATTAACTCGTCATTTACATTAGGTACTTCTCCATGCAATCCCTCCCCCTGTCCCCCACCCCACGACAGGCCCCCATGTGTGATGTTCCCTGCCCTGTGTCCAAGTGTTCTCATTGTTCAATTCCCACCTATGAGTGAGAACATGTCATGTGTGGTTTTCTGTCCTTGTGATAGTTTGCTTGAATGATGGTTTCCAGCTTCATCGGTGTCTCTGCAAAGGACGTGAACTCATCCTTTTTATGGCTGCATAGTATTCCATGGTATATATGTGCCACATTTCCTTAATTCAGTCTCTCATTGATGGACATTTGGGTTGGTTCCAAGTCTTTGCTATTGTGAATAGTGCTGCAATAAACATACGTGTGCATGTGTCTTTGTAGTGGCATGATTTATAAACCTTTGGGTATATACCCAGTAATGGGATTGCTGGATTAAATGATATTTCTAGTTCTAGATCCTTGAGGAATCGCCACACCATCTTCCTCAATGGTTGAACTAGTTTACATTCCCACCAACAGTGTAAGAGTGTTCCTATTTCTCCACATCCTCTCCAGCATCTGTTGATTCCTGACTTTTTAATGATCACCATTCTAACTGGAGTGAGATGGTATCTCATTGTGGTTTTGATTTGCATTTCTCTGATAACCAGTGATGAGGAGCATTTTTTCATGTGTCTGTTGGATGCATAAACATCTTCTTTTGAGAAGTATCTGTTCATATCCTTTACCCACTTTTTGATGGGGCTGTTTGCTTTTTTTCTTGTAAATTTGTTTAAGTTCTTTGTAGATTCTGGATTTTAGCCCTTTGTCAGATGGGTAGATTGCAAAAATTTTCTCCCATTCTGTAGGTTGCCTGTTCACTCTGATGGTCATTTCTTTTGCTGGGCAGAAGCTCTTTAGTTCAATTAGATCCCATTTGTCTATTTTGGCTTTATTCCTAGGTATTTTACATGTTTTGTAGCTATTTTAAGTGGGATTACCTTCTGATTTCTCTTTCAGCCAGCTCACTGTTGATATGTAGAAACACTACTGGTTTTTTGTATGTTAAATTTGTTTCCTGAAACTTATTTATGAGATCTAAGGGTGTTTTGGTAGATTCTTTAGGTTTTTCTAAATACAAGATCATCTCATATGCAAACAAGGCTAACTTGATTTTTCCTTTCCAATTTTTATGCTCTTTCTTTCTTGATCTTGCCTGAATGCTCTAAGGCTTTGTTGAATAGGAGTGGGGAAAGTGGGCATCCTTTTCTTGTTGCTGTTCTTAGAGAAAAGGCTTTCGTTTTTCCATTCAATATGCTCTTATCTACAGATTTTTTGCATATAAACTTTATTGTGTTAAGATCTGTTCCTTCTATGCCTAGCTTGTTGAGAATTTTTATCATGTATGGATGTTGAATTTTTTCAAATGCCTTTTCCGTTTTTTTTGAAATGATCATACGGTTTTTGTCCTTCATTCTGTTCATATAATGTGTCAGGTATATTGATTTGTGTATACCGAACCATCCTTGCATCTCTGGGATAAAGTCCACTTAATCATGATGCATTATCTTTTTGATGTGCTGTTGGATTTAGTTTACTAGTATTTCATTAGAGATTTTGGCATCTATGTTCATCAGGGATATTGGCTTGTAATTTTCTTTTTTTCTTGCTTATTTAGGTTTTGGTATCAGGGTAATTCTGGCCTCATAGAATGAGCTAAGGAAAATTCTCTCTTCTTTAATTTTTTGTATAGTTTGAGGATAATTAGTGTTAGTTTTTCTTGTAAATTTGGTAGAATTCTGCAATGAAGCCATCCAGTCCTGGACTTCTCTTTGTTTGGAGACTTTTTATTACTGATTCAATTTCATTATTAGTTATCAGTCTGTTCAGGTTTCTACTTCTTTCTGATGAACTTTTTTGTTTCTGTAGTATTCGTTGTAATGTCTCCTTTTTATTTCTCATGTTATTTATTTGAGTCTTGTCTCTTTTCATCTTTGTTAGTCTAGCTAATAGTTTATCGTCTTTTCAAAAACCAACATTTCATTGCATTGATTTTTTGAATTTTTTTAGTTTGTATTATTTTTTAGTTCTGCTTTGGTCTTTACTACTTCTTTGTGTCTACTGATTTGGGATTTAGTTTGTTCTTGTTTTTCTAGTTCCTTGAGGTGACTTGTTAGTTTTTTTTAACTATTTCTACTTTTTTGATGTGTGTGTTTATTGCTGTAAACTTTCCTCTTGTCACTTCTTTTGCTGTATCCCATATATTTTGGTATGTTAAGTTTCAGTTGTTATTTGTTTCAATACATTATTTTATTTCTTCCTTAACATCTTTCTTTACCAGATGGTCACTGTGGAGCATCTTGTTAATTTCCATGTATTTGTAAAGTTCCAAAGTTTCTCTTTTATTGATTTCTAGTTGTATTCCATTAAAGTCTCAGAAGATACTTGACATAGTGTCAATTTAAAAAAAAAATATGTTGAGACTTGTTTGGTGTCTAATACATAGTGTATCCTGGAGAATGTCCCATGTGCTGATGAGAACAATGTGTGTTCTCCAGCTGTAGGATGAAATGTTCCGTGAATATGTGTTAGATTCATTTTGTCTAACATGAAGTTTAAATCCAATGTTTCATTGTTAATTATCGTTCTAGATGATTTGCCTAATGTTAAGAGTGGAGTGTTGAAGTCTCCAATTATGATTGTTTTGGAGTCTATCCTTCTCTTTAGATTTAATAATATTTGCTTCATTTATATCAGTGCTCCAATGGTGGGTACACGTGTTTAAAATTGTTATATTCTCTTGCTGAACTGATTTCTTTATCATTATACAATGGCCTTCTTTATCTCTTACTATTTTTACTTAAAGTCTGTTTTATTTGACATAGACATAGCTACTCCTGCTTATTTTTGGTTTCTGTATGCATGGGGTATCTTTTTTTTCCAACCCTTAACTTTCAGTCTCTATGTTTCTTTACACGTGAGATTAGTTTCTTTTATGCAGCATATAGTTGGGGTCATGGTTCTTTATCCATTCAGTCAGTGTATATCTTTTGAGCGGAAAGTTTACTTCATTTACGTTGAAGGTTATTATTTATATCTGAGGGCTTATTTCTTTATTTTATTAAGAATGAATATTGATTTCTAGTTGTTTTGTTTATTCTTTGTTCCTTTGGTTCTGCTTGTTTATCATTGTGGTTTAGTGGTTTGCTGTAGTGGTAACATTAAGTCCTTTCTCTTCCTCATTCTTGTGTTTGCTTTACCAGAGTGTTTTATATTTTTATGGGTTTTCATGATGGTAGATAGTGTCCTTTCACTTCCATGTTTAGGACTCCTTTAAGCATTTCTTGCAAGGTCACTCAAGTGGTGATGAATTCCCTTAGCTTTTGCTTATCTGGAAAAGACTGTATTTCTCCCTGTACCCAACAAGGATAGCTTTGATGGGTATAGTATTCTTGACTGACAGTTTTTTTTTTTTCTTTCAGCACTTTGAATATATCGTTCCATGATCTTCTGTCCTGTAAGGTTTCTGCTGAAAAACCTGCTGTTAGTCTTATATGGGTTTTCTTAACAAATGACTAGGTGCTTTTCTCTTGCCATTTTTATAATTCTCTCTTTGTCTTTTCATTTAACAGTTTGGGTATATTGTCCAATATAGTGATAAGACCTTTTTGTACTTTATCTGTCTTGGGATCTATGAGCTTCCTGTATCTGGATGTCTAAATCTCTTGCTAGACTTAGGAGCAATAATTCAGCTATTATTTTGTTAGGTAGGTCTTCTCTCCCTTTTTGTCTTTTCCTTTGGCTTCTGGGACACCAACAATGTGAATATTTGGTTACTTTATGGTGTTCCATTTTACAAAGAAGGCTTTGTTCATTCTTTTTTATTCTTTGTTTAAATTTTTGTGTGACTGGGTTATTTCAAAAGGCCTGTCTTCAAGTTCTAAAATTCTTTCTTCTGCTACTCTAGATTGTTTAAACTTTGAAATATATTTTGCATTTCAGTTAATGAATTCTTCAGTTCCAGAATTTCTGTTTGGTTCTTTTTTATGACATGGATCTTTTTGGGAAATTTCTCCTTCATATCTTGTTTTTTATTTATTTATTTAAACTGTTTTTCTGAGTTACCTTTCTTGTATCTTCTGTTATTCTGAGCTTCTTTAATGACATTATATTGAATTCTTTATCTAAATTTTCATAAATTTTTTGTTCATTGGCATCTGTTGCTTGATAATGACTGTATTCCTTTGGAGGTGTCATTTTTCCTTGCTTTTTCAAATTTTTTATATCCTTACACTGACACCTGCACATCTGGTGTAACCATCACCTCTTCCAATTTTTAACATTTGCTTTCATAGAGAAGGAATTTTTCTTGAAGGTGTTTCTATGGTGTTGATTGGACAAGGAACTTTGGCTTTGATTCTGGGTGTATGCAGTATTGTAGTCTCCATATGATTTCTTTGGCTATATGCAGTGTCAGTAGCATTTATGATTTCTTTGGTTGCTTAGGATGCAGTTGTTAGCAGAGGCTGTGATGAAGTTTTGCCAGGGATGAGGACATTAGGTAGGCCAGTCCTTGAGCCCAGTGGTGGCAGCAGCAGACTGAGCCTACCTGTCCTTGGGCCCCAGGGCCGTATTTGCTGGCATCAGTGGTAGGAACATCTAATGTTTCTTTGTTAGTTTTCTAGTATCATGCTTGGGTACTTGGGGAGGGGGTGGAGCTAGACTAAGAAGGCCAGTCCTCAAGTCCCCTAGTAGTGCGTACAGGTTCTGGCTGTGGCAGGCAGGGGCAGTGTGATCCCCAAGCCCTGATGGAATGCTTGGGAGACAGGAACAGCAGCAGTGGTGCTGCAGTCTTGCTCCTGGGGATGATAGGGTTGCTTTTGGTGGCAGCAGCTATAAACAGGAGGCTGGGGAGCACATGCTTCAGCCCCAGGTGGTGGCTATAAGTAGGGTAGCCTTTCCTTGGGGCACCTTTAAATATATGGCAGCCCTGTGACTGGGAGCAGTGGGTTTGCTGCCAATGGCTCACATTTTGTCCCTGGTGGCAGCAGCCAGCAGCAGTGCCCAGCTGCATGCAGGAAATGAACATGGGGCTTCTGGGATATAAAGACAAAGGAGTCATTGATCCCCAAGACAGAATGCAGTCTGGTGGTTGATAAGCTCTCAAAATAGTGACTTTGTGGAGTTGCTTAGAACCTGGAAGGTATATAGGACCTGACATGAGCTTCCTCTAGAGCAATGCCATCACACAGTGTCCAGGCAGCTCTCTATGCTAGTCTTAGGGTCCATTTGGGTTGAGGGGCTCTCCCATGGCCAGGATTGCAGAAGTCTATGGTGAGGATGTGAACGGCTAGAGATCACTCACTTACTCTTTCCCCACACTGGGGAGTCTCTCCAGGCTCCCAGCCAATCCTGGCCATGCAGGCTGCTTCACTTCCCTCTCCTCCCTTGCTTTAGGTGTTTCCTATCACTTCTCTGTTGAATTCCAGCATTCTGCCTTAGGTGATCTATTCAATATGTGAGTATCTACTTGCTATTTTGGTTCTTCTTTGCGGAGAAGGCAGATACCAGATGCAGTTAGTCACCCACTTTGAAGCCTTCCCTGAGCTGAATCTGAAGGGAAAGTAGGAGTGAGTTAGGCACTTGCCTCAGGCACATAACTTAAGGAGTGCCAAAATACTCAGTAATCAATATAAATGATATTTCAATGCCATATTTTTTAAAAGTTGCATGGCAAACTATAGTCTTCAGGTTGACCACTTGTTTTAGTAACGTTTTATTGGAACAAGGGCCACGATTAGGGTGAGGCAGGATCATGGAAATGTGGGATCAGATTCCATCTGTATTACAGTATTTGTTCATCATGAATTTTTAAGTTAACCTCTTAAAATATTGCATTAAATGTGCCAGTTATCTTGATTTCTGAATTTTAGTACCCTCTTAAATTTTGCACCTGAGATGAGTGCCTTACCTTGGTTAACAAGGTGGAGAAAAGGACCCAGAAGTTAAGGCAGACATTCTAGAAAGACAGAGCAGCATATTTGAAAGATCACTGCATGTCATGGAATGCTTTGTTCAAAGGAAATGCAAAGATGACTCCAAGGCATCAAAGGGAACAGGAGGGAAAATGGCAGGAGACACAGAGAAGCAACTTGGAGTCAGATCTTGAACTACATGTCCAAGCCTAAAATCACTAAAATTCTGGAAATGCATTAAAATTTTTCATTAGAAGGTTGATGGGATAATATTTTTGTTGAGAAAAAAAATATAACTCTGGAAAGAGTTGATATTCAGGTATTTAAGAAACTATTGCAATCACAGTCTAGAAATTATTTATGTGGTGATGTGAACTAAAGAGAAGAAGATAGTGGGAATAGAAAGAAAAGGGCTTATTTGGGCCAGGCACAGTGGCTCACGCCTGTAATCCCAGCACTTTGGGAGGCCGAGGCAGGCGGATCACGAGGTCAGGACATCGAGACCACAGGCAAACCCCGTCTCTACTAAAAATACAAAAATTAGTCGGGCACGGTGGCAGGCGCCTGTAGTCCCAGCTACTCAGGAGGCTGAGGCAGGAGGAGAATGGTGTGAACCCGGGAGGCAGAGCTTGCAGTGAGCCGAGATCGTGCCACTGCACTCCAGCCTGGGTGACAGAGCGAGACTCTGTCTCACAAAAAAAAAAAAGAAAAAGAAAGAAAAGGGCTTATTTGATGGGCATTTAGAAGATGGAGGAAAGCTGAATGAATATTGATAACTAATCTATAGTTTTCTTTTCCTTCTCTATAGGAAAGATAGTAACTACATTCACCAACACGTTACACAGGAAGAAGAACAGGTCTGGGGAAGATATTGATGAGTTCAGGGTGGACATGGGAAATGTAAAGTTCAGACAAGAGGTATACATAGGGATATCATCAAAGGATTACTACAATCATGGAGAGAAAGTCCAAAAATCTGTTGGAATGATAGAGATGATACCGTGTCCGTAATTTGTTCCTTCTGGTGGGTTCTTGGTCTTGCTGACTTCAAGAATGAAGCTGTGGACCTTCACTATGAGTGAACAGTTCTTACAGATGGTATGTCCAGAGTTTCTTCCTTCCCATGTTCAGGTGTGTCCAGAGTTTATTCCTTCCAGTGGGTTCGTGGTCTCACTGACTTCAGGAGTGAAGCCGTGGACCTTCTCAGCAAGTGTCACAGCTCCTAAAGGTGGTGCGGACCCAAAGAGTGAGCAGCAAGATTTATTGCGAAGAGTGAAAGAACAAAGCTCCCAGAGTGTGTGGAACGGGACCCCAGTGGGTTGCAGCTGCTGGCTCCAGTGGCCAGCTTTTATTCCCTTATTTGGCCCCACCCACATCTTGCTGATTGGTCCATTTTACAGAGTGCTGATTGGTCCGTTTTTACAGAGTGCTGATTGGTGCGTTTACAAACCTTTAGCTAGACAGAAAAGTTCTCCAAGTCCCCACCGGACGGAGAAGCCCCTCTGCTTCTCCTCTCAATATGGCCAGGCAGCAAACTCAGTCTTTCATCTCGAAGGAGTCAGGTTGGGCAATGAGATCAATGTGAAGCTTTGGAAACCTGCATGGTACAAGAGACTGTAAACCTCCGAGTGTCTACTAGCGCCAGGGCTCCCTTTGGATAACAGTTGCCCTAGGTGAGTCTTTGTAAAGTTGCAAAGCCTTAGATAATGTGATACTGCCACTTCCATCATGACTGAAGGAACCCGGTTTTGGTGCCCAAAGCTGAAACAACTGTGGATACTGGTGAGAGAGGTCAATTATCAGAGAGGTACTTTGGTACCAAACTCCTCCCTGAAAGTTCTTTTTAATGTGAGACAGTGACAAAATGCCCCTAGTCAGATGTCCTGGAATTAAATTGCACACAAAAAAGGCAACAGGGATTAATGACATTAACCATTCTTATGAAACAATAAAATAACTAGGGCACTTAGGGAGCTATTGTATTTTGATTAGCAATGAGCTATTGATTCAGTTCTCCCTGATGCCTGCTGTAGGTACCCACCGGCCTCGGAAGCCTCAGGACCCAGCCTAACTCCATAGTGCTAAAATAGATTTTGGTGGTTTCTCACTTCTTGGTAATTCTCATAAATCCCCACCATTTCATATAGCTTGGGCAGGTCTCTTCCTTTCACCCTGAAAGACTACAGGTTATGTAAGCACCATTTTACAGGAGAAGTCAGAAGGCCAAAGTCGGAGGGGCAGGTTAGCGTCAGAAACCAGCACAGACAAAATTCATCCAACAATGACTTAAGTCACTTCTCTGTGCCTCATTTTTGTAACCTACAAAATCAGGATAATCATAGTTTTCCCAGACCAAAATGAGAGTCAGGCTGCTATTTCTTGTGGCCCAATGATGAGATGCAGATGAACTGCGGAGGAAGAGAGTTTTTATTTCTCCAACCAGTTACAGGGAGAAGGCCTGGAAATTATCATCAGACCAACTCAAAATTACAAAGTTTTTCAGAGCTTATATACTTTCTAAGTCTATGTGTAAGTGTGCATTCATCAAAAGACATGGGTGATTAACTTCTTTTAATCTATAACTAAGGTCTCAGTCCTAAAGAGCTTCCTCTGGAGCCTCAGTAAATTTACTTAATTAAAATGAGTTCAGATGCTGGGGTGATTACCCTTATCTTGCCTCCTTGTATGATTGTCTCCAAATCACGGAGGTTTGGGGAGTTCCTTCAGACCCCCAATAAACTTGTTTGTAGAGGCCTAGGGACTTTCTACAGACCCACAATAAAACTTGTTTAATCCTACATGGGTCCTGTTAATAATTCCTTCCCAGGAAACAGCCTAGGCAAAATTCTTGGTGGGCTTTTGTTACACCTCAGCCTTTGTATAAGGGCACTGGCTTTTAATATTTAACTTAACCACTCAGTACTGAAACAGTTGTTATGGAGGCCTGCGTTGGTGAGACCTGGCATGCCACAACAGTACCTTCTGTATAGCATTGTTACGAGGATTAAATAAATTAATATATATAATGTCTTTAGAGGCAGGGACAAAGTAAACATTATGTAAGGATCTATTAAAAATAAAACAGGAGTTGGCTTTTTTATTGACTTGTATTGGCCCATTTCCCCCTTTAGAGGAGTCTGAGGTACTGTGTTGTTTCAGACACACATCATAGCTAAAGTTAGCTGATTGCCGACTATACACCTAGACTAGAAAATTGTTCAATTGACCCTATAGTTAGGCTTTCTCAATTTGGTTTATTTAACAGTGATACTCAGGACTGCCAACACATACATTCTGGATTTGGTGAACCTGGACAAAAAACAAGTTGTGCCTCCACTGAATCTTTGCTTCTTAAGATTACCTGTAGGGAGATAAATATCATTCCGGGCTGGTATAGTTTCTAATAAAGACAGCAATCATCAGTTACAGAACATATCTCAAAGTGAAGAAACAACTACAGTTATGTACCACATGACATTTCAATCAACAACATACTGCACATATGATGGTGGTCCCATAAGATTAAAATATCACATTTTTACCGCACTTTTTCTATGTTTAGACATTCAAATACTTACCATTGTGATATAATTGCCTACAGTATTCAGTACAGTAACCTGCTTTATAGGTTTATAACATAAGAGCAATAGGCTATACCATATAGCCTAGGTGTATAGTAGGCTATACCATATAGCCTAGGTGTATAGTAGGCTATTCCATCTAGGTTTGTGTAAGTACACTCCGTGATGTTCACATACACACACAAAAAAATGCATAAAAACACATTTCTCAGAATATATTCCCATCATTAAGTGACACATGACTGTATTAGCAAAATTAATTGCAGTGTGTTTATTGTGTTTTATTACTATAGACTAGTTTTGTGTTTGATAATACATCCTCTTTGATTCTTTTTATAAGCCATGTGGTTTCTGATTCTAAATTATTTCTTCTAATTAATGTATACACAATTTATTTGATACAATTTTTGTTTGATCAGAAAGAAAAAGGAAAAAGTCCATTGAGACATGACTATACTTTATCCACTATGCTATTCACTGTTACTTACATTTTTGTCATTTCATATTCATTGCAAGTTTAGAAAGTTAGCATTATCATTCCCATTTTTAGAGATGAGAAAAGAGAGATAATGAGAGCAAGGGTTAAAAGCAAGCAAGCAAGAGGGAAAGAGAAAAAGATAAATTAGAATTTTTTTACTTCTCTTATAATATTGCATCAAGATCATATTAAATTTGAAAACTTTTTTTTACACATTTTCATAAATTATGAAGTTTAAATTAAAGGTGAAATAACTGAGATAATGTGGTGTTTTGTTTTGCACTTCACATTTATTTTTTGATTCTAGACACTTGTCTTCTATAATCTCCCAGGGAGAATTCACTCAGCCTAACAGTGGTAAAAGCTTGATTTTTGACATCTTTTCCTCCCACTACGCTCAAATTTCTTCAAGAATGAGGGCACAGAATTGCTCTAGAACAAAGATTTAGTGCTGTATTTGAAGATAACTTAATTCTAACCAATTTAGAGCCTATCAATTTAGGGTTAACAGAAGGTCCTTGTAGGACATGTGACTTCTTGTTTAAAAACACTCGGGGCTTTTGATAATGCCACTGTTCTGATACAATCAGAAATTTTACTGAAGCAAACAAAAAGGGGAAAAGGAAAAGTTATCCATTTTTGACCTTTTTTTAACTTTCCAGATTTAGTTGAGTTGTATCCTTGTTTTTAAGGATCTAAGTGTATGAATTGAGAGGAGCTGCTCTTTTACCCAGTGCACTCAGTGAAAAAAAAAACTCCAAAACTTCTTAGTTCAACAAAGCAAAACTGGTGATCAGAAATGTCAAAATTATTATATCTTAGCTCCTCTTTCTTATATATTTGTCCTTTGGTTTAGCCATTTAAAAGCACTAACAAAATATAAAAGCTACTACATACAATTTTCAACTGATAATTATATTGTTTTTGTTGAAATTTAAAAAATGAAATCTACCTAATTTATGCAAAATAAAAACAATAATAAGAAATACTTTTATGGGAATACTGATGTATTTATTAGAATTCAGGAAAGAATAAAAAACCTAAGGAAAGAGTAAGAACCTAGGAAGCTCCGGACAACTAGTAACAGAAATTAATGGATTTTCTAGAATATTCTCTAGAGTTGCTGAGTGATATGGTTTGGCTTTGTGCCCCCACCTAAATGTCATCTTGAATTGTATCCCATAATCCCCACATGTCATGAGAGGGAACTGGTGGGAAGTAATTCAATCATGGAGGCGATTCCCCCCCATGCTGTTCTCATGATAGTGAGTGAGTTCTCACAGGATCTGATGTTTTTATAAGGGGCTTCGCCCTTTGCTCTAAACTCGTTTTCTCGCCTGCCACCCTGTGAAGAGGTGCCTTCCGCTACAATTGTAAGTTTCATGAGGTTTCCCAGCCATGCAGAACTGTGAGCCAATTAAACCTCTTTTCTTTATAAATTACCCAGTCTCGGGTATTTCCTCACTGCAGTGTGAGAACAGACTAATACACTGAGCTTCCAGAAACTTTCAGAGCCTGTGTCTTTTGGTTCAGAAATCCAAATTTCTGGAAGGGAAAAATCTAATTGGTCTAGCTAAAATCAGGTGATCACTCTTGGATCAGTCAGCTCTGATCACAAGGGTAGGGTCTTAACATCCTGCTTAAAATCCTTCCTTGTACTGCCCTACTTCTTATCAAGTCCACATATCCTACCCAAACCTATGAGGACTTAGATCATCTGATGCCAGTCTGCTGTCCAAACTCATCTCAAACCACAGACCCAGGTACCCCTTTGGACTTGTTCTCCTTGCCTAGAGCTTACTCAATCTTTTTCTCATCCTTTAAATACCAACCAAAATGTCATTCCACAGAGGTGTTATTTGAAGCCCCAGATCTAAACTGAGTTTCCCTTTTATTCTCTCTCATAGAATCCTGTTGTTTTCCTTCATAAGACTTATCACAATTGGTTATCAGATGTTTATTTGCCAGTGGGGAGGAGGAGAGGTTAGTTCTTTAATGTCTGTCGTCTCTCTCTACAATCTGTAAGAGGGTAGGGATTTCAATTATTTTGTCTTGGTTTCAAAACTGGTACCCTGCCTGGCACGTGGCAAAAGGTCCATGAATATTTGCTCTGAATAAATAAATAAATGAGTAATGACAGAGGATCATCCGTATGTATCAGGGCAGTTCTCAAAGAGGGAAATTGAGGATCACATTTCATGATATCTAGCACATGAACAGGAAGACATCTAACTCACGAATTGAAAGTTTGAAGAGGGAATTGGCAGAATCTTTACCCAAAGATGATTAATATTCAATATTTTACAAATACAGCTAAATACAGCTATTTTTTAGTCAAACTTGATAGTATTTATTTGGAGAGATGTAGGTAGGGAGAGGATTTCTTTTGACTTACATATGTGAAACACTAGAGTTAGATAGCTTTTGTAATGATGTATGGAGATAAAGAAGATTACTGAGGTATAACATGCCTTTGAGACATGAAATTCAGAAGAGTATGAAACAGTAATTATTAAGAACAAAGCTGAAAACTTCACTTTTTCTGCTTGGAAAATGTATGAAGGGAAGACTGTAGAAAATTGTGTGATTATGTATTTAATAGCAGATTTGGTCCTGACCTAAGTAATGGAGAACAAAAAAAATGACAATTTGTATTGGCACCCAGTTGTCTAATGGAATTCTAGGCCTGGAAAATGCAGGCCCAAGCCAGAATATATTAATTGTGACATGTAGATATCTTGAAAATCACGTGTTGATGGGAAACCAGCCCTTTCACCCTTTCTCCTTAACGCCTATTTTCAAATTCCAAATAATTATAGAAGGTGATTAGGAGAGGGATTTCTGAATCCCAGCTGTACCCCATTCCAAGGGAATGAGATTGTGTAGTGGGTCATTTGTTAAGTAGAATTTGTGCTGTGGAATGACTACAGTCATCCAAGCCATCATACATTTACAAGAATGACCCAATGGTCTTCTTTCACCAAAACCTATTAGGTGGTAGTGCAAAAGTAATTGCGGTTTTTGCCATTTACATTTAATGGCAAAAGCTGCAATTACTTTTGCACCAGTTTAACACATTGCACCATCATGGGTCATGGGGGGAAGCCACATTGCTTGTGACCACAGCAAAAAGAAGAGTAAAACCTGAGTTAATATTATACCCATTCTTGGCCACGTGCAGTGGCTGCAGTGGCTCACACCTGTAATCCCTGTGCATTGGGAGACAAAGACAGGAGGATCCCTTGAGGCCAGGAGTTTGAGACCAGCCTGGACAATATAGTGAGAACCCATCTGTACAAAAAAAAATAATAAAACTTAGCTGGGTGTGGTGGTGCATGCCACTAGTCCCAGCTACTTGGGAGGTTGATGTGGAAGGATGACAAGCACATGAGTTCAATGATGCAGTAAGCTATGACCATGCCACTGCATTCCAGCCTGGGCAACAGAACAAGACCCTGCCTCTAAAAGAAAAAAAATTCTTATATCCATTCTGTTGTGCCTATCAGTCCTTGTGTAATGATTTGGGCCCAATACTTATGGCCAAATTCTATTGGACTCATGCTCTTCCTTGAGCCAGGTCAGACACCTGCTGAGCATCCCACCTCCTTACCTGGTCCTCTGCCCCTTCTACCAATTCTTAGGTTCAGGGTAATGGTTGAAAATCTTGTATTGATGCTTAGCACTTCTCTTCATTGGTCTTTTGCTTATACAATCTAAGAGTGATCTTGAACCCAAGCAAGGGTTTTCTTCCTTAGGATTTGCCTTCCAGAGGGTTCTACATATCACAATTGCACACACAAAAAACAATTATTAAAGGATGCAAGGTCACTGAGAATCCAGCATTCATTGCTGGCACTTTACTGACGTATAATCCCAAACATCCACTCTCATGGTAAATACCACTCAGGTCCCAGAAAATACTGTCCACATATCTCTTACCATTCATCTTCAAAACACAATACAACTACATCTGAATGACGTGAAGGTTCTGGGTTGTGCCATTGCATCAGAGAGGGACACTGCTTTGAAATGTGATGAGGATTTAAGTCACAGAAGCACTTAGATAACAGAAAAGATAAAATAATTATCAAATCCTGACTCTCACAGACCATGAACGCAGTAAACTACGCATGAAGTGTCTTTTCTTTGAAGTGCTGAAAGGTAAATGTTTCCTTTCCCTTTATGCTCTAATTTCTGGTTCCATATCAGTGTAGTATTTGCAACAGTTGCTTTTCATGGCTGAGGAAAATTGCTCATATTATGAAATCCACATTACTCTTAAATTTGTATATATGTACATCTCAGTGTAACACTGAAGCATGTTACTGGTTTGATTTTTTTTCTTGCCTTGGCAACTAGAGAAAGTTCAACACTAGAATTGAGAATACTTTTATTTGTATAAAACTTCTTAATGAGATTTATTAGATATTTCAAAACAATAAAATATAATTAGCTTTATTTAAATAATTTTGGCCCAGCACAGTGACTCTTGTCTGTAATCCCAACACTGTGGGAGGCCAAGGGAGGAGGATCCCTTGAGGCCAGTAGTTTGAGACCAGCCTGGGAAACATAGCAAGACCTTGTCTCTACAAAATTTTTTATAAAATAATTCACCCTGGAATGGTGGTGTGCACCTGCAGTCTCAGCTACTGGGGAGGCTGAGGTGGGAGGACCCCTTGAGCCCAGGATTTCAAGGCTGCAGTGAGCTGTGATCACACCACTGTACTCCAGCCTGGGCAACAGAATGAAGCACTGTCTTTAAAAATAAACACATACATAAATAAGTTTTATTTAAAACTTCAATATTCAATAATTTAATTTGCAGTTGGGCCTTTGATTCAAATATGTAATTTAAATGTATTATTTAAAACATTTAAAATCTGTATTTTTCCAAATTTTGCATTTAATTTAATCCACATTTGTGGGAAAATAATTTCAAACTTTATCCCCTCTTAAATATTACTTTATTCTTTAATCCTTTAGGTCATTTACTTCAAATAGAATACAAATAATGATGTTATCTTGGCTTTAATAATAAAATTAGTGATTTGTTTAAATGTAGCCAAGAAAAATCGATTTCTTAGAATAAATAAGAAATAATTTGTGAATTATGTGTATCTTTATTTTGTTCTTCACCCAAACACTGCCAGCCCATCAAATTAACATTCACATACACCCAATAATAATTAAATTCAGTCATCCTGAAACCTTGGCTACTTTAGCCATATAAACATCATGGCTTTATACATATATTTTTATTTTGTCATTTAAATATACATTTGTCAAGGTAGAAGGGTAGAGCGTATTTTATATAGTAGTTTGTTAGCTTGTGTTGTGGCTTTTAAAACATCTAGACTAGTCATAAACCTTGCTAGCAGATATAGACAAACCATCAGAATAAAGTCAAAATGTACTGGGTTATGATTCCAACACTTGGAGAAACTCTCTCTACTGGTAGATGATATTCTTGTTTACAGTGTGGACACAGGGAACATTGCTGATTTAAGGCTTCATAGAGATGCAAAACATGTACATATTTATTTGTTCTTTGGAGTATAGGCACTCTCATACTCTTTTACCCAGTGACATATAAAGGAGATTTCTCCTGTGGCTCCATAACCTAATTCTAGTTACTATTACAAGATCCTTCTCCTAGAAATGAAAGGACTTTTTTTATTTGGGGAGAATGAAATAAGAGCCACCAATCTTCTTTCTAGAGAATTCTATAGTCTCTTTTCTTGATGTTCATTTCTAGAACTCATGCATTTTTTAACCATCTTTGATTTCATTTATATCTTCTTCATATCTGATACCTCTCCAGCAGCATTCTATTTTTTAATTAATAAACTTCATTTTTAGAGTAATTTTAGGTTCACAGCAAATTGAGCAGAAAGTACAGAGTTCCTGTATACTCATTGTCCCCAAAGCACACAGCTTATCACCATCATGCACCAGAGAAATTGAGCAGAGGGTTCCCCATATACTCACTGTTCCCACCCACAACCTTTCCAGCTATCAACATCCTGTACCAAAGTGCTGCATGTCTTATAATCAATGAGCCTACGTTGATTCATTGTTATTACCCAAAGTCCATAGTTCGCATCAGAGATCACTCTTGGTGTTGTACCTTCTGTGGGTTTTGATAAATGTATAATGGCATGTAGCCACTATGGTAGTATTTTACAGAATAGTTTCACTGCCGTAAAATCTTCTTTGCTCTGTCTATTCATTGACCCCCAAACCCCCTGCAGCCCAGATCCTGGCAACCACTAATCTTTTTACTATTTCCAACTTTTTTACCTTTCCCAGAATGTCATATATTTGGAATCATACAGTTCATAATCTTTTCAGATTGGCTTATTTTACTTAGTAATATGCATTTAAGTTTCCTTCATATCTTCTCATAGCTCATTTCTTCTCATCAGCACTGAATAATGTTCTATTGTCTGATGTAGTTTGAGTACCACAGCTTATTTATACACTCACCTACTGAAGGACATGTTGGTTTCTTCCAAGTTTGGGCCATTATGAATAGGCTGCAGGTTTTTGAGTAAACATGTTTTAAATTTGTTTAGGGAAATAGCAGAGTGTGATTGCTAGGTCATACGGTAAGAGTGTGTTTAGTCTTATAAGAAAATGCCAAACAGTCTTCCATAGTGGCTGTATCATTTTACATTCCCATCTACAGTGAATAAGATTTCCTGTTGCCACACATCTTCACCAGCATTTAGTGTTGTCAGGGTTTCTGATTTTGGATTTAGACCATTCTAATAGGTGCATAGTAATTTTTTGATTGTCATTTTAATTTGAAATTCTTTAATAGCATATCATATCAAACATGTTTTCATATGCTTACATGATATTTGTATATATTATTTGATGAAGTGTCTGTTCAGGTCTTTGGACGTTTTAGTTGGGTTGTTCATTTTCTTATTATTGAGTTCTAAGAATTCTTTTTATATTTTGGATAACAGTCCTGTCTTTTCTAAATATTTTCTGTTGGCCCAAAGCTTGTTTTCTCACTCTCTTGACATTAAATTTTGCAAAGCAGAAATTTTTAATTTTAATAAAGTCCATCTTATCATTATTTCTTTCAGCAATCACATTTTCAGTGTGGTTTCTAAAAAGTTATCACCATACTCAAGATCATCTAGGTTTTCTCCTACATTATCTTTTAGGAGATTTATAGCCTTGCACTTCACATTTAGGTCTATAATTCATTTTGAGTTAATTTTTGTGAAGATGTAGGTGTGTGTCTAGGTTTGTTTTTTGTTTTGTTTTGTTTTGTTTTGTTTTTGCATGTGTATGTCCAGCTGTTCCAGCACCATTTGTTGAAAAAAACTGTCTCTGCTTCATTGTATTGCCTTTGCTGCTTTGTCAAAGATTAGTTGGATATATTTATAATGGTCTATTTCTGGGCTTTCTATTCTGTTCCATTGATCTAGTTGTCTTTTCTTTTGTCAGTACCACACTATCTTGATTACTATAGGTTTATAGTAAGTCTTGAAGTTGAGTAGTGTCACTCTTCCAATTTTGTTTTTCTTTAGAATTGAGTTGGCTCTTCTGGGTCATTTGCCTTTTCATATAAACTTCAGTTTGTCAAAATCCACAAGGTAACTTTCCGGAATTTTTATTTGGATTGCATTGAATCTATACATCGAATTGGAAAAAAATGACTTCTTGACAAATTAAGTTTCCTATCCATGAACATAGAATATCTCTCTGTTGATTTCGTTCTTCTTTGATTTCTTTTATAGAGTTTTGTAATTTTCCTCATATAGATCTTGTATATAATCTGTTAGACATCTACCTAAGTATTTCTTTTTTGGTGAGGGGGAGGATTGCTATTGTAACTGTTACTGTGTTTTTAAATTCCACTTGTTCATTTGTGGTATATAGAAAAGTGATAGACTTTTGACTATTAACTACGTATGGTGCAACCTTGTTATAATTGCTTATTAGTTCCAAAAGATTTTTTAATAGATTCTTTTGAATTTTTTACACAGACAATCATGCCATCTGATTGAACAGTTTTATTTCTTCCTTCCCTATCTGTGTACCTTTTATTTTCTTATTTTATTGTATTAGATAGGATTTCCAGTATGATGTTCAAAAGAAGTGGTGAGAGGGGATATCTTTGCCTTGTTCCTGATCTTAGAGGGAACGTTCCAAGTATCTCACCATTAAGTATGATGTTAGCTACAGGATTTTTGATAGCTGTTCTTTAACAGTTTGAGGAAGATCTCCTTTATTCCTAGTTTTATGAGAATTTTTATCATAAATGGGTGTTGGGTTTCATCAGATGCTTTTTCTGCATCTATTGATATAATCATGTGATTTTTCTTCTTTAGCCTTTTGATATGATGAATTACATTAATTGATTTTCAAATGTTGAATCAGTCTTGTGTGCCTCGGATAAATCCTACTTGGTCATGATATACAATTATTTTTATATATTGTGGAATTTGACTTGCTAATATTTTGTTGACAACTTGTGCATCCATGTTCATGAGAAGTATTGGTCTGTAGTTCTCTTTTCTTGTAATGCCTTTGTCTGGTTTTGGCATTAGTGTAATACTGGCCTCATAGAATAAGTTAGGAAGTATTATTCCTGTTGCTTCTATCATCTGAAAGATACTTTTGAGAATGGATATAATTTCTTCATTAACTGTTTGGTAGAATTCCCTGGTGAACCAATTTCGGCCTGGTTCTTCTTGTTTGGGAAGGTTATTAATTATCAATTCATTTTCATTAATAGATAGGACTTATCAGATTGTATTTTTCTATTTGAATTTTAGCAAAGTTTGTCTTTCAAGGAATTGATCCAAGATTATGAAATTTATAGGCATAGAGTTGTTTATAATATTCCTTTATTATCCTTTTAATGTCCACAAGATCTGTAATTGTAACACCTTTTTCTTCTTCAATATAAATAATTTGTAACTGCGCTCTTCTTTTCTTAGCCTGGCTAGTGGCATATCAATTTTCAAAAAACAACTTTTGGTTTTGTTGATTTTTATCTATTAATTTCCTGTTTCAATTTTATTAATTTCTGCTCTAATTTTTATTCCTTTTTTTCTTCTGCTTATTTTGAATTTAATTTGCTCTTCTTTTTCTATTTTCCTAATCTAGAAGCTTATATTGGGGATTTTAGATCTTTCTTCTTTCCTAAAATATGCATTCAATGCCATAAATTTGCCTGTAAGCACTGCTTTTGCTGCATGCCACAAACTTTACCCAGTTGTATTTTTATTCATTTAGTTCGAAATAATGTTAAATTTCTCTTCAGGTTTCTTCTTTGAGCCATGTGTTATTTAGAAGTGTGTTGTTTAATCTCCGGGTATCTTGGCATTTTCCAGCTACCTTTCTATTATTCATTTCTAGTTTAATTCTACTATGGTCAGAGAGCAGACATTGTATGATTTCTGTACCTTGATATTTGTTGAGTGTATTTTATGGCCCAGAATGTGTTCTATCTTGGTGAATGTTCCATATGACCTTAAGAAGAACATGTATTGGCCGGGCGCGGTGGCTCACGCCTGTAATCCCAGCACTTTGGGAGGCCGAGACGGGCGGATCACGAGGTCAGGAGATCGAGACCATCCTGGCTAACACGGTGAAACCCCATCTCTACTAAAAATACAAAAATTAGCCGGGCATGGTGGCGCGCGCCTGTAGTCCCAGCTACACGGGAGGCTGAGGCAGGAGAATGGCGTGAACCCGGGAGGCGGAGCTTGCAGTGAGTCGAGATCGCGCCACTGCACTCCAGCCTGGGCGACAGAGCGAAACTCCGCCTCAAAAAAAAAAAAAAAAAAAAAAGAAGAACATGTATTGTACTGTTGTTGGATAAAGTTGTCCATAGATATCAATTATATTTATTTCATCGATGGTGCTACTGAGTTCAGATATGTTCTTATTTATTTTCTGCCTGCCAAATCTGTCTATTTCTGATAGAGGAGTGTCAAAATCTCTTAACTACAATAGGAGAGTCCTCCATTTCTCTTTGCAGTTCTATCAGTTTTTGCCTCATGTATTTTTACACTATGTTGTTAGGCACAAACATGTTAAGGATTGTCATGTCTTTTTGTAGTAGTGACATTATTATTATTATCTAATATCCCTCTCTGTTCCTGATTAACTTTCCTTGATCTGAAGTCTGCTTTATCTGAAGTTAATAAAGCTAATACCCTTTCTTTTGATTAGTGTTTGCATGGTATATATTTCTCCATCCCTTTGACTTATATATGTCTTTATATTTAAAATGGATTGTCTATACAACATATATTTGGGTTTTTGTTTGATCTGCTCTGGTAATCTCTTTTAATTGATACTTTTAGACCATTGATGTTTAAGATTATTATTAATATAGCTGCATATTGATATATCATATTTGTTACTGTTTTATACTTGTTACCCTTGTGCTTTGTTCCTATTTTTGTCTTCTATACTTTTTCTGCCTTTTTTGGTTTTAATCGAGCATTTTATATGATTCTATTTTCTCTCCCTTATTAGTATATCAATTATACCTCCTGTGAAATAATAAATGTATATATTGGTCTGTTTACTGTCCCTGGCACAGAGCTCCAAAAACCCTTGTAATTTCCTGAGCAATAGAGATGCTAGGATAATTTTTTTTTCTAATGTTTGGTCTCTGCCCAATTCCTGAGATAGAGTTTCTAATATGTACGTAGGGGTGCTAGGATAATTTTTTGTTCTAATATTTGGTATTTGATCTTGTTTCCTGACATAAAGCTCCTAAAACTTCTATAATATCCTGAGTAATCGAAGCATAGGACACAGAGCTCCTAAATTCTTTTGAAATTCTTGGGTGACAGGAGCATCTTTTGTTTTAATGAGGTAACTCTTGGTGTGCTCCTGGATGGGTGCTGGTCACTAGGAAGACCAAACCATGATTAGCTTAGAGCTTTCAGCTTCATTCTCCATACCCCAGAAAGGAGAGAGAGGCCAGACATGGAATTAAAAATCAATCATGCCTACATGATAAAACCCCTATAAAAATCCCTGAACTATGAGGTTCAGAGAGCTTCTGGGTTGTCAAACACATCTATGAGCTGGAGGGTGATGCATCCCAACTGCATGGAGACAGGAGCTCCCTCCTGCATTGGGGCCCTTCCAGATCTCTCGCTATGCATCCCTTCATCTGGCTGTTCATCTGTGTCCTTGATTAAATCCTTTATTAGTAAAACCAGTAAACATAAATAAAGTGAAAGTGTTTCCCCTAGTTCTATGAGCTTCCCTAACAAATTAATTGAACCAGAGGAGGGTGTCCTGGGAACTCCCAATTTATAGCCAGTCAGTGAGAAGTAGAGGTGACAACCTACTGTTAGCATCTAGGAGTGGGAGGCAGTATGCGGCACAGAAACTTTATGGGCTATGACTCTAACTCCAGGGAGATCATGTCAGAATTTAATTGAATTATAGGACACCCAGTTGGTGTCTGCTGGAGAGTTGCTTGGTGTATGGGGAATATCCCCCTCACATCTGGTATTAGAAGGTTTGTGCTCAGTGTGTGAACACAGAAAATGCACTAGGTTTTTTCCTATCTTTATATTCCCTTTTTAACTTTTTTTGGTGATTGCCCTAGAGTCTACAACATATGCTTACAACTAATCCAAATCCACTTTCAAATATCACTATACTATTTCACAGGTAGTGTAAGTACCTTATAATAACAAAATATTCTCAATTCCTCTCTCCCATCCCTTATATCTTTGCTGTCATTTGTTTCATGTATACAGAAGCACACGCAAGCATATATATGCATATAAATTGAATACATGATTGCTATTATTTTAAACAAATTGTTATCTGTTAGATCAGTTAAGACTAGGAAAATGAAAGGTTTTGTTTTATTTTCACTTATTCATTCACCGATGCTCTTCCTTTCTTCATGTGGATGTGAGTTTCTGATCCATATCATTTTCCTTCTCTCTGAAGAACTTCTTTTAACATTCCCCTCAAGGCAGTTCTACTGGCAACAAATCCCTCATTTTTTTATTTGTCTGAGAAAGTCTTCGTTTTTCCTTCTTTTTTAGAAGGATTATATCACAGGGCACAGGATGTGAAGTTGGTGTGTCTTTTCTTTCAGCGCTTTAAGTAAGAGAGGATTTTTTCCTTAATATTTACTAGGAGGATATGAAAAGAGGTCCTTAAGGTAGAACTCACAAAATTGTGTTTCTGGGGGTGTCTTCTCCCTGGAGCTTTTAGCTCTTACACTTGTCAATACCAAGCCTCCAGCAATTCATCATTTATGGTTTAGGTTTTCCTACCCTGACACTGGTTCCCACACAGGTTTCTGCTCTGGTAAGTTGTGATTCTCTTATCTGCCCATCTGTCTCTCCAATTTTGAGGGTAGCAGTTTGCCCTGTGACCTCACTTCTCTGACATATCTAAGAAAAGTGATTGATTTTTCAGTTTGTTCAGCTATATACTGGTTAGGATGAAGTGGTGCCTCCCAACATACTTTTTAATTAAAATTTTTAAATATAATTTTGCATATGTGCATAAATACAACTAGATGATACCTCGAATTGTGTTTCAGTCTTTTTCTTTGTTCTTCCTTGCCTGGTAGTCCTCTCTCACTCCCCCACCCCCATGCATTAGTGCCTCTTTTCCAACAACCAAAATAATGTTAATAATCAAGTATGTATCCTTCTGATTTTCTGTATGCTTTTATAGACCTATATTTCTTTTTTTTTTTTTTTTTTTCAGACGGAGTCTCGCTCTGTCGCCCAGGCTGGAGGGCAGTGGCGCGATCTCGGCTCACTGCAAGCTCCACCTCCCAAGTTCACGCCATTCTCCTGCCTCAGCCTCCCAAGTAGCTGGGACTACAGGCGCCCACCACCAAGCCCGGCTAATTTTTTTGTATTTTTAGTAGAGATGGGGTTTCACCGTGTTAGCCAGGATGGTCTCGATCTCCTGACCTCGTGATCCACCCGTCTCGGCCTCCCAAAGTGCTGGGATAGACCTATATTTCTCTCTATATATAAACATATTGAAAGTTTTTTGACAATGGTTTAAAGGCAACAAGGTCATATTATAAATGTCTTTCATATTGTTACTTTCTTCGCAAGCTAAACCTCATGGAAATTAGTGCAATCCAACTGACAAAGTTATAATTAATTCATTTTAAGGTCTGCATAATAGGCAATAGAGAGAATATGCCTTTAGTCAATTCAGTGGTAACCATGTTGTATTCTCAGTATGGATTCTCCTAATGTTCTCAAGAGCATTCTCAAAAGACCTTTGGTGTTTATAACCCAAGGTTTAAAAAACCACCAACTTAAGAGTGCACCACACACGGGATCAGGAAACCTGGGTTTAGTCTTCACCTGTTATGCTTTTATAATTGTCAGAAAACAAATTGTGTTACTTTCAAAGATATGTATATCTCTAGACGGGAATAAAAGACAAGAAAAAAATCTGTAAAAATCCATAACTACCTGCTTCACAAAATGGCCAATGAAAAATAATTTTCCTTATGCAAAAAACTCCTCAGTAAAGCACAAAGTAAGACTCTGCTGTATTCCTGATGCTACTATCCCCCCATCTAACTGACTATGGCAGGCAGAATTCTAAGATTACCACACTCTAATTTATATGTCCTGTCTAGTCCCTTCTTGAAAGGGGGTGACACTGTGAATATGATGGATTGCACTGCTGTGATCATATGTTATATGATGACAGTAAAGGCTCCAAATCAGCTAATTTTGAGTTAATTAAAAGGGAGATCATCCTAGGCAGGCCTCATTTAATTGGATGTCAGCCCTTAAACAGGGAGGGTCAGAGATTTAAAGAGAAAAAGTGAGAATTTCTTCTGCTAGCTTTAAAGAAACAAGAAACCACATTGTGAGATGGCACATGGTTAGCATCTGAGGATGGTCTCTGAGAGCTGGAAGAAACCTCTGGCCAACAGCCAGCAAGGAAATGAGGACATCAGCCTTAAAGTTGCAAGGAACTGAATGCTGCCAACAACCAATGAAGAGCCTGGAAGAAGAGCCAGAGTCACAAAAGAGATCACACAACCTTGGGCTGACATTGTGATTGCCACATTGTAAGCAAAGAAACCAGTTGTGCCATGTCCGGACAGCTGACCAACAGAACTTTGAGATAATTAAAGGAAATTGTTATAAAACACTAGGTTTGTGGTAAGTGATTAGAGAGCAACAGAAAACTAACGTGGTGACCTTACATGAGATATATAATGTACAATCTCCAACACTATAAAGAAAAATAGTAGTCCAAAGCATGAGCTTTCTGGTTCTAGAATAGCATATTTTTAGAATTCTACTGTAGATCAAAGTCAAAGCTTTGTTTCAATTAACAGAACCAGTACTTATTTTAAAATAAATAGCACTGGGGGCCAGGTGTGGTGGCTCACACCTCTAATCCCAGCACTTTGGGAGGCCAAGGTAGGCAGATCACGAGGTCAGGATTTTGATGAAACCAACCTGGCCAATATGGTGAAACCCCATCTCTACTAAAAATACAAAAATTAGCCTGGCGTGATGGTGGGCGCCTGTAATCCCAGCTACTCAGGAGACTGAGGCAAGAGAATCACTTGAACCTGGGAGGTGGAGGTTGCAGTGAGCTGAGATCGCAACACTGCATTCCAGCCTGAGTGACACAGCAAGACTCCATCTTAAAAAACAAAACAAAACCAAAAATAGCACTGGGGAAGGATAGCATTCCTTTGTATCACTAGATTCACTTTTTTTTTTAGGGTGTCATTAGAATGATCTGACATATTATTTGAGGTATGGCATGTTTTGTAGGCATGTTGCATCTTAAATGAGAACCTCTAGGCAGATTTACGAAGAAACGTTTGTTTAACGGGGTTGAATGAGCAATAGTGAGGGAGAGAGAACACTGAAAGTAGAAGACAGTTATCATAATCTGCTTCTCAACATTGACCACAAGCAACATTGTGTTTTTGTTGTTGTTGTTTGTTTGTTTCGAGACAGTCTCATTCTGTCGCCCAGGCTGGAGTGCAGTGGCATGATCTTGGCTCACTGCAACCTCTGCCTCCCGGGTTCAAGCAATTCTCCTGCCTCAGCCTCCTGAGTAGCTGGGATTACAGGCGCATGCCACCACACACGGATAATTTTTTGTATTTTAGTAGAGACAGGGTTTCACCGTGTTGCCCAGGCTGGTCTCAAACTCCTGAACTCAGGCAATCCACCTGCCTCGGCCTCCCAAAGTGCTGGGATTACAGGCATGAGCCACCTCGCCCGGCCAGCAACATTGTTTTTGAGATAACAAACCTTCGGACTTTAATCAAACCAATGTGAAACTGAATTCATATTAACAGGAGTTGCATGCACACCATGTATGAGGGTCCAGAACAATGGATCTCATTGAGAAAGATCAGAACTTGTTGCAGTTTTAGCTGCATTTGGGCCTATTGGAGAGTTTGGTTTTGAAGATGATAAAATCTTTAGCATGTCCGTTGCTCATCCCTTCAAAAGTGGCTAAGAATGTTAAGAGAATGCTATCAAAATACCTACTTGAAATGGTATGAAATCATACATCACTCTCCTACAAAAAAAAAAAAAAGTAAATACATGAAATTCCACCCAAGACAAATTTCCTGTAGGACTGCCATAACAAACTGGTGCAGGAGTTTTTTCTCCTTAGCTCAGCTAGGTCTGGGTTCTTTTCTCATGACCAGGAAAAATTAGGCATGTGGACACTTGAAGAGTGAGTGGAATGCAATTTATTAAGCGAAAGGAAAGCTCTCAGCAAAAAGAGGGATCCTGAAAACAGGTTCCCAGTTGCCCCCTTCACAGTTGAATATAAGAGCTTTTACATACAAGCTGATGGAACTGGATTCCTTATTTGTATAAGACACAAATTCCTGTTGGCTCCATCCCATTCCCCCAGTGCGCATGTGGGCATGTTTAGGCAAGCCCCCTGTACAAGTTCCTTTATCTGCTCAAAATATGGGTTGGAGGTTCTCTGGGGACTCTTCCCTTACTGTCTGCCTAAAGCAGGCTGGCTAACTCCTTTCATTCCCCCCATCAGAAGTGGAGACTCAGGCCGCTGTTGGGGAAAGTGGGCGATGACTGCTCTTAACTGCTTCCTGCTGACAGGGTTTTAAACAAATTGTTAATCTCAGGCTCCTCCTGAGTCTGTTTAAGGGTCCCCAGAAGAATGGCACATCCATGTGTGGTTCCATTTGCATCACCATTTGAAGTTTAATGGCCTCTAAGTAAGAAGAAACAATTTAGCTTATTAGAAGACATGTATCAAAACGAAACAAAGGTGGGTAAGGGCAGCTCAAAAATCCCTAGGCTGTCAACACAACCTGATAACTGGTGACTATAGTTATGCCTGCTAAGATTTCGGTACATGGGGCTCGGCTTTGGTTAGCTCCCTTGATCTTATTTTCCTAACAGAGAAACCTCCTGGTTATAGGCATCCTATTTACTCATACCACCTGGCAGGATTTGCAGGATAATTGCCCAGAACTAGAATACTCATCCAGATTTTTACATTACCCATCCCTTTTGTTTTTTCTGAGCTGCAGCCAGAGACCACTGGTTGGTTCACAGGAATAAGCAGAGTTAGTCTAAAATGTAGGCAGAAACTTAAAAAAAAAAAACGATGAGATTAGAATTTAATGACAAGTGTGTAAGTTTTGAAACATAAGTTTTCTCTCTCCAGTCCTCATTTTTGTCAAAAACAAATCATGATAGGACTGAGTTGTTTGCAAAATAAACTTTAGTCTCATGGTTGGCCTGGTTATTTGCATAAAGTATAGCAAGAATAATCATTTTTCACATAGGCCTTTTTTCACTCTGTGTGAAGAGACCACCAAACAGGCTTTGTGTGAGCAATAAAGCTTTTAATCACCTGGGTGCAGGCGGGCTGAGTCCAAAAAGAGAGTCAGCGAAGGGAGATAGGGGTGGGGCCATTTTATAAGATTTGGGTAGGTAAAGGAAAAAAGGGGGTTGTTCTCTGGCAGGCAGGAGTGGGGGGTCACAAGGTGCTCAGTCAGGGAGCTTTTTAGGCCAGGATGAGCCAGGAGAAGGAATTTCACAAGGTAATGTCATCAGTTAAGGCAAGGACCAGCCATTTTCACTTCTTTTGTGGTGGAATGTCATCAGTTAAGGCAGGAACAGGCCATTTAAATATCACTTCTTTTGTGATTCTTCAGTTACTTCAGGCCATCTGGATGTAGATGTGCAGGTCACAGGGGATGTGATGGCTTAGCTTGGGCTCAGAGGCCTGACATTCCTCTCTTCTTGTATTAATAAGAAAAATAAAACATAATAGTGTTGAAGTGTTGGGGTGGGGAGAAAATTTTTTTGGGGGGTGGCATGGATTGATAATGGGCGATGTTTCTCAGGGCTGCTTCGAGCGGGATTAGGGGCGGCGTGGGAACCTAGAGTGGGAGAGATTAAGCTGAAGGAAGATTTTATGGTAAGGGGCGATATTATGGGGTTGTTAGAAGAAACATTTGTTGTATAGAATTATTGGTGATGGCCTGGATACTGTTTTGTGTGAATTGAAAAACTAAATGGAATAAGAGAAGGAGAAAAACAGATATTAGACTAAGAATTGGGAGGACCCAGGACATCTAATTAGAGAGTGCCCAAGGGGGTTCAGCGTAATTACTTGCTTGGTTGGTGAATTTTTAGGCTCTATCCAAGTTTTTGGGGTGCAGTTCAAGTTGGGCTGGTGTCTGGAATGAGACTGGGACCTAATAAAAAGGAGTGTCTATACAGGAGCTCAAATGGGCTGTAACCTATAGCATTCTGAGGACAGGCCTGAATTCTGCGAAGGGAAAGTGGTAAAAGTATTGTCCAGTCCTTTTTTTTTTTTGTTGAGATGGAGTCTTGCACTGCACTCTGTCTGGAGTGCAGTGGCACGATCTTGGCTCACTGCAAGCTCCGCCTCCTGGGTTCATGCCATTCTCCTGCCTCAGCCTCCGGAGTAGCTGGGACTACAGGCACCTGCCACCACACCTGGCTAATTTTTTGTATTTTTAGTAGAGACAGGTTTTCACCGTGTTAGCCAGAATGGTCTCGATCTCCTGACCTCGTGATCTGCCTGCCTCAGCCTCCCAAAGTACTGGGATTACAGGCATGAGCCACGGTGCCCGGCCAGTCCAGTCCTTTTTAAGTTGGTGGCTGAGCTTGGTGAGGTGTGTTTTTAAAAGACCATTAGTCCGTTCTACCTTTCCTGAAGATTGAGGACTGTAAAGGACATAAAGGTTTCACTGAATACTAAGAGCCTGAAAAACTGCTTGGGTGATTTGACTAATAAAGGCTGGTCTGTTATAGGACTGTATAGAGGTGGGAAGGCCAAACTGAGGAATTATGTCTGACAGAAGGGAAGAAATGACTGTGGTGGCCTTCTTAGACCCTGTGGGAAAGGCCTCTACCTATCCAGTGAAAGTGTCTACCCTGACCAAGAGGTATTTTAGTTTCCTGACTTGGGGCATGTTGAGTAAAGCTAATTTGCCAGTCCTGGGCAGGGGCAAATCCCTGAGCTTGATGTGTAGGGAAAGGAAGGGAGGCCTGAGCAATCCCTGAGGAGTAGTAGAATAGCAGATGGAACACTGAGAAGTTATTTCTTTGAGGATAGATTTCCACGATGGAAAAGAAATGAGAGGTTCTTAGAGGTTGGCTAGTGGCTTGTGCTATAGCATAGCCTGCCTTTGCTGGTGTGTGGCAATTAGGCCTGGTGGAACTGCCATCAATAAACCAACTGTGATCAGGGTGAGGAACAGGAAAGAAGGAAATATGGGGAAATGGGGTGAATGTCAGGTGGATCAGAGAGATACAGTCATGGCGGTCAGGTGTGGTATCAGGAATAATGTGGGAGGCCGGATTGAAGTCCAGGCCAGGAACAATGGTAATTGTGGGAGACTCAACAAAGAGTGAGTACAGCTGAAGGAGCCAGGGAGCAGAAAGTATACGTGTCAGGTGTGAGGAAGAAAATAGGTTTTGGAAGTTAAGAGAACTGTAGAGAGTGAGTTGAGCATAGTTTGTGATTTTAAGGGCCTCTAAAAGTATTAGGGTGGTGGTAGCTGCTGCACGCAGACTTGAGGGCTAGACAAAACAGTAAGGTCAAGTTGTTTGGATAAAAAGGCTACAGGATGCGATCCTGGTCCTTGTGTAAGAATTCTGACTGCACAGCCCTGCACTTCAGCTGTGGGTAATGAAAAGGGTTGGGATGAGTCAGGGAGAGCTAGAGTGGGGGCAGTCTCTAAAGTTGTCTTCAAGGAATGGAAAGAGGAGTGGGGAAAGGATTTAGGATCTATGGAGTCAGCTAGGTTTCCTTTTGTGAGTTTATATAATGGTTTTGTTATAATGGGAAAACCAGGTATCTAAAGTTGAAAGTATCTAACCATGCCTGGGAAGGAAAGGAGTTGTTTTGTAGAAGGTGCTGGGGTTTGAGAGATCAGTCAGACATGACCAGCAGGGAGAGCACGTGTGTTTTTATGAGAATTATGCCATCATAGGTAACAGATAAGGAAGAAATTTGGGCTTGACTGAAGTAATGGGGGCTGTCTGTGAAGCCTTGCAGCAGTACAGCCCAGGTAATTTGCTGAGCCTGATGGGTGTCAGGGTCAGTCCAAGTGAAAGGGAAGAGAGGCTGGGATGAAGGGTGCAAAGGAATAGTAAAGAAAGCAAGTTTGAGATCTGGAACAGAATAATGGGTTGTGGAGGGTATTGAGGGTATTAATAATGGGTATTGAGGATAGGAGAGTATATAGGTTTGGCACCACAGTGTGGATAGGCAAAACAATTTGGTTGATAAGGCGCAGATCCTGAACTAACCTGTAAGCCTTGTCTGGTTTTAGGACAGGTAAAATGGGGGAATTGTAAGGGGAGGTTATAGGCTTTAAAAGGCCATGCTGTAGCAGGTGAGTGATAACAGACTTTAATCCTTTTAAAGCATGCTGTGGGATGGGATATTGGCATTGAGCAGGGTAAGGGTGATTAGGTTTTAATGGGATGGTAAGGGGTGCATGATCGGTCACTAAGGAGGGAGTAGAGGTGTCTTATACTTGTGGGTTAAGGTGGGGAGATACAAGGGGAGGATGTGAAGGAGGCTTTGAACTGGGGGAAAAGATGGCAATGAGGTGTGGCTGTAGCCCAGGAATAGTCAGGGAAGCAGATAATTTAGTTAAAGTGTCTCAGCCTAATAAGGGAACTGAACAGGTGGGGTTAACTAAAAAGGAGTGCTTAAAAGAGTATTGTCTAAGTTAGCACCAGAGTTGGGGAGTTTTAAGAGGTTTAGAAGCCTGGCCATCAATACCTACAACAGTTATGGAGGCAAGGGAAACAGGCCCTTGAAAAGAAGGTAATGTGGAGTGGGTAGCGTCCGTATTGATTAAGAATGGGACGGACTTACCTTCCATTGTGAGAGTTACCTGAAGCTCAGCATCCGTGATGGTTTAGGGGGCTTCTGAGGCGATCGGGCAGTGTCAGTCTTCAGCCACTAAGCTGAGAAGATTGGGGAAGGAGTCAGAGAGCCTTGGGCCAGAGTTCCAGGGTCTCTGGAAATGGCTGCCAGGTGAGTTGAACAGTCCAATTTTCAGTGGGGTCCCACACAGATGGGTCATGGCTTACGAGGAATCCCGGGCTGTGGGCATTCCTTGGCCCAGTGGCCAGATTTCTGGCATGTGTAGCAAGCTCCTGGGGGAGGAGGTTCTGGAGGAACCCCCGGCAGCTGCAGTTCAGGCATTTGGAGTTGTGGGCTGGAGATATGGCTGGGGTTTGTCTCACAGTGGAGGCAAGGAATTGCAACTCAGAAATACATTGCTACTTGGCTACCTCTACTCTATTATTGTACACCTTGAAGGTGAGGTTAATTAAGTCCTGTTGTGGGGTTTGAGGGCTGGAACTTAATTTTTGGAGTTTTATTTAATGTCAGGAGCAGATTGGGTAATACAATGTATATTGAGAATAAGATGGCCTTTTGACCTTTTAGGGTCTAGGGCTGTAAAGCGTCTCAGGGTTGCTGCCGAACAAGCCATGAACTGGGCTGGGTTTTTCATATTTGATGAAAAAGAGCCTAAATGCTAACTGATTTTGGGAGAGGTCTGATAAAGAAAAAGGAGCATTAACCTTGACTATGCCTCTAGCTCCAGCCACCTTTTTAAGAGGAAATTGCTGGGCAGGTGGGGGAGGGCTAGTTGTGGAAGGAAACTGTAAGCTGGACCCGGTGTGAGGAAGGGAGGTGATAAAAGGATTATAGTGTGGGGGATCAGAGGCTGAGGAAGAATTGGGACTTGGCTCAGCCTGGCTAGGAGCAGCCTGGGGAGAAGGGGAGAAGTCAGATGGGTCTGTAGAAAAGGAAGATTAGAAAGACTCAGCGACGCTTGGGGTTGGGACTGGGAAGACAGGCGGGAGGGAAAGAAGGAGGATTTGGGATGAGTCACATTGGGAACAGAGACTAGGGAGGGAACAATGTGTAAAAGAATGCCTGGACGTCAGGCACCTCAGACTATTTGCCTATTTTACAATAAGAATTATCTAGATCTTGTAGGATGGAAAAATTGAAAGTGCTGTTTTCTGGCTATTTGGAACAACTATCGAGTTTATATTGGGGTCAAGCGGCATTGTAGAAGAAAAATAAGGCATTTAGGTTTAGGTCAGGTGTGAGTTGAAGAGGTTTTAAGTTCTTGAGAACACAGGCTAAGGGAGAAGAAGGAGGAATGGAGGGTGGAAGGCTGCCCATAGTGAAGGAGGCAAGCCCAGAGAAAAGAGAGAGTAGAGACACGGAGAGAAGGGGTGGGGGGTGCTTGCCCCCAGGAAAGTGGAAAAGGGGTAGAGACACGGAGAGGAGGGGTTGGGGGGTTCTTGCCCCCCACAAAAGTGGAGAAGCAGTAGAGACACGGAGAGAAGGGGTTGGGGGGGTTGTTGCCCCCTAGAAAAGCAGTACTTGCTGCTAAGGGTGAAGGAGAAGGGGCTGGGGGGTTCTTGCCTTCCAGAAAAGCAGAGAAGGGGTAGAGACATGGAGAGAAGGAGTCAGGGGGTTCTTGCCCCCTAGAAAAGCAGAGAAGGGATAGAGACATGGAGAGAAGGGGTCGGGGGGTTCTTGCCCCCCAGAAAAGTGGTACTTGCCACTAAGGGTGAAGGACCAAGGCAGGCTTCCTCGCGTGGTCAGACACCTCTGAAACGTGGATGAATAATCAGGCAGGCATCCCCATGTGATTAAACACCAAGGGAAGACTGTCTTCCTGAGTCCGTGACTGGCGCCGGAGTTTTGGGTCCGGATAAAATGCGTCTCCTGTCTCTATGAGAAAAGGAAAGGAACTGAAATTAAGAGAAGGGAGAGACTGAAGTGTGGCGCCAAGATTGAAAGGAGAAAGAGGTTGAGGGATAGTGAGAGAGGTTGGAGAAGAGAGTAAAAAGAGGCCGCTTACCTGATTTAAAATGGGTGTGGTGTTCCTTGGGCAGGTCAGTCTGAGGATCTGAGGTTGTAGGTGGATCTTTCTCACGGAGCAAAGAGCAGGAGGACAGGGGATTGATCTGCCAAGGGAGGTCCCCTGATCTGAGTCACAGCACCAAAATTTAACTCGCATCCATGTGAAGAGACCACCAAACAGGCTTTGTGTGAGCAACAAGGCTGTTTATTTCACCTGGGTGCAGGCAGGCTGAGTCCAAAAAGAGAGTCAGCAAAGGGAGATAGGGGTGGGGCTGTTTTATAAGATTTGGGTAGGTAAAGGAAAAAGAGGGGTTGTTCTCTGGCAGGCAGGAGTGGGGGTCACAAAGTGCTCAGTCAGGGAGCTTTTTAGGCCAGGATGAGCCAGGAGAAGGAATTTCACAAGGTAATGTCATCAGTTAAGGCAAGGACCAGCCATTTTCACTTCTTTTGTGGTGGAATGTCATCAGTTAAGGCAGGAACAGGCCATTTAAATATTACTTCTTTTCTGATTCTTCAGTTACTTCAGGCCATCTGGATGTATACGTGCAGGTCACAGGGGATATGATGGCTTAGCTTGGGCTCAGAGGCCTGACACTTTTAAATTGGCTTTGATGGAACTCTCTTCCACAAGGAATTTCAGATAAGACCTTTTAAAGCTGAGCTTAACAATGGGTTTGTACCCTCAAATACCTATGAGTTAGGTAAATTCCTCTCTTCTTAAGGTGGCAAAAGCATGGGGCTCCTGGGCCTGATAGAAAGTGACATACTTGGCCAGGCGCAATGGCTCACACCTGTAATCCCAGCACTTTGGGAGGCTGCAGAGGGCAGATCACAAGGTCAGGAGACCGAGACCATCCTGGCTAACATGGTGAAACTCCGTCTCTACTAAAAATACAAAAACTTAGCCGGGTGTGGTGGTGGGTGCCTGTAGTCCCAGCTACTTGGGAGGCTGAGTCAGGAGAATGGCGTGAACCCAGGAGGTGGAGTTTGCAGTGAGCCGAGATCATGCCACTGCACTCCAGCCTGGGCAACAGAGCAAGACTCCATCTCAAAAAAAAAAAAAAAAAAAAGTGACATTCTTTACTCACCACAGTTTAGAAACCCTGTATGGGGGCTGTGTAAACAAAGTATGAGGCCAGTTTTCCCAGGGGGCTTTTATTGCCTCTGCAAGTCAAACTTGATTCCTTAAAGGGAAGCATATCCTTCCAGCCAAAGCCTTGGTAAAACATCCAGTTTCTCCAATTGTGTCCTGTTGCAAAAGAAAATGGATTCTTATTGCACTAATGCAAATAAGTATATTGCCATAAGCTAAGAATACTCACAAATAGTTTTCAAATTCTGGAGAAGCCAGGCAGAGAGCAACAAATATGTTTGAAATTTTGTTCACAGGTATATATTTTACTCAATTATTAAACACTGTAAATAGCTCAAAATAAGTTTCCTTGATTCTGAGAAACAAAACAAGTATCAGCAAGGATTTAAGCACAAAGGTTAAAAAGATTACTTCAGTTTTCTGTTAGTTCAGTCCATTCTGTTAACTTTTATTCTGTTTGATATCCATGAACATTTCAACTCTTCAGGTGTCCTGTACATTTTTCCTTTGTTCCAATATTACAATCTTCAGAGATATCAGAAACCTACATTTAACAGCACCTGTCAAAGTCCTATAGCTGATTATAAACCATCTTTTGAAAAGGATTAAAGCAAGGCAACACTTATCTGTGAATGACAAAATATCCAGGGTAGTTACAGTCAAAAACACAATTGACAAAGAAATGTAGTTATTTCTGTGGTTTACAATAACTTGACATAATAAACTTAATTATGATTGATAGCATATATTCAGACATTAGAATTTTTAAAATCCCATACAATTTTGGAACATATATTAATATTATTCACTGAAATATAACCTGAAGAAGATTAAACATTATTTTGGCAATCCCATGTAACTAAACATGTGAAATAATCCTGTTTACCTTTCTTTTGAATACTCCAAGAGCCCTCTGTAGCATCCAAAAGCTAGAGGTTAGGAAAGACAATTTTTGAAGCTGAAGTTTGACTTTAGGAAGTCTGTTAAATGTGTTGAAGGTTCAAAACACCTGATATTATGAAATAGAATAGCAGATTACCATAAGTTATTTATTTAGCCAAAATGATGACTCAGAAATTTTTAAAAAGGCAAAAACTTTTCATTATCTTTTACTATTACATGAAAATCTTGTTCAAGAGAGAAAGCCAAATTTTACTCTTGCATTAGTCTACTATTAATATCAACTCCATTTTTAAATGAAACCTTATAGATAATTCTATTCAATCTTAACCAGTTTGACCATCAGATGAAATTCTTGTAATCCTTTTATAACTCTACAAATTTTTGTGAAAGAGCAGGTCAGTGCCTCAAGAAAACCTTGTTGTGCTTTTATTTCAATGCTTAATTTACAGAAAAACCAAATAATACCCTTTTGAAGTTAGTCAATATGTTACACATAGAGCTTCTTTTATAAGATCATTTTTATAAACCTTTCTCCACTTGTTTAAACCTTCAGTTTTATCTTGTCTAATTCAAAACAATCCTTTAACCCTAGGCAAAAATTTACATTCCCTTGTCTTCTTATCTTTTACTAAAAACATATTTTACTTTGTTTACACACATTGCATGTAAGTCTATTTTCAGTAGTCTCAATTACATGTTATAACAGCAACTCTTAGCAATTTTTAATTTTAGTGTAAAACTTGGTTATTTAAATTATGTAGTAGGCACAGATAAGATCTGACTCTTTCCAGTATAGTTAAGGGTGTGGTTAATTCCATATGTCCTCAGCCTTACCAAATTGTAAAGCAGGCAGGTCAAAAAGTTCTCAAATAACAAAGAAGTAGTTTATAACCTTAAAACATTTCGCAAACCTAGTATCTAACCCACATAATTTAGACCACTTGTTTACATTCTGAAGACATTTGTATTTTACCAATTATCTTTAAAACTGTTTTTATTTCTCAAAGATTAAAGTCACGTGAACTAAAAGGCATTACAGCTTTTATTTTTCCTTCAAAATATTTGGTCTAAGCACTTGTTTTTCTTTAGGCTAATCAATTAGAGCTCTTTTTTATAAATATCACACATATAACACATATATAACTATACAGACAGATAGAAGAAGATACAGTAATTGTAAGATTTTTCATTTGCCAATCTCATAATTGGATTATTGGCCTCAGGATGGAGGCTTTCAAAAGCACCGCTAGGAGAGCATGCAATTTCTACAGCCTAATAAACAGGCATAGCCAGAAGACAAAAACAGATTTTGAGAGGTATCCATCAGCTTTCAATTCCTGGGATTCTGTGAGGAAAACAGTTTTCTTCCGAAAATGGGGTCCACAGCACCTTCTCTGTTTTTACCGCCAAGTCCCATGCCCTCAGAAGTTACCTTAGGGCCTCTCCTGCATGCATAAATAGTGGCAAGACAAAATGGGGAAAAATAATTCAGTTGACAGAAAAACACCTTTTTCCAGAAAAACAAGATCCAGGAAGAGAAAAACAAAAAGGCCTTTAAAATATACCTATAACTTTGATATCCACTTTCAATTAAGCTGAGCATCCTTTAAGAAAATCCTTTTAAATTCCTTAGTACCCAACTTTAGCCATGCCAAGTAGCCAATATTTCTAGCTTTTGAACTTTACCAAAAGTGAAACAGGTGAAAATAACAAGCCTCAATTAAGGTTATGACTTGACCGTGAGTGTACAAAGTATTTTCAAAGAGGTGGTAAGCAGTTTCTACAAAATCTAGAATCTTTAAAGGTAGCTGAGAGAAAGAATGATTCAACAAAGGAAGCCAGAAGTTATTCATGGAGAGAAAAAGAATCAGCAAATGGCCAAAGTAACACAGATATTAACCAGAAAGTATCCATCCCCTAAGCCAGGATTGAACCTGCACTGCCATTGTAAAATGGCAAAGGCCAAAAGAAAGTACTACCATGTGGTTACAAGATCAAGCTCCCAAGGATGTAAAACAAGATGGAGACCTGCACCAAAGCTCGTTACTGACCAGTTTGCTGGGCTGGCTTGAACAGCGGGCTTTTTGGGGTCCTAGGCCTGCATTCTATCCTAAGGCATTCCTCCATGTGACAAAACCATACAGAAAGACACACACAACGCTCACCAGATTGCCTATAGCCCAAGACTGGCCTCATAAATCCTTTTTTCCATTAATCAAAATGTTACAGAGGATGTAAACAGTGACCTTTACCATTTATGTTACCAGTTTGCACAGGGAGAGACAGGCCAAAAGTCTGACTGGTAAGAACTTTTACTTTTTGCCAGCATGTCAGCCTTCTGGGTTCCCCTCCTCCAAGATCAATTTTAAGCCAAGCAGTTTAAGGTTTGAGGAAACTAATTTTTCCCAGTTTGGGGGATGCATCCGAGGAAAGCGTCCTGTGTTACAGGGACACAATTACCCATCTGTGAAGAGAGGACAGAGGAGGAAAAAGAAAAAAGAAGTTATCTCTTTTTTTTTTTTTTCCAGAGGAGTCCCAGTGATTCAGGAGGTATTCAAGACTCCTGATAGATTGAAAACTATTGGTTACCCATCTAGGAAGAGGGGAACAAGGCGTCCCTAGTCCTTTTTTCTTTCTGCGAAATATCCAGGGTATGTGAGGGAGAGAGAGAAGAGGCCCCCCTTCCTTCTTCCATCTTCATATCCCCAAGTCCCAGTAACCTCAACAGGGTGCTGCCCATGGGTGCCAATGCTGCTTTTCCCCCCATATTAACAGGGAGGCCTAGGTGGTGATAATTACCTGCATTTAGCCATGTGCTGCCTCCTCCCTGTTTTTGGTAAGCTTTGAGTTCCCTAGACCTCATTTATGCCATGGATACTAGCATGACCTCCATCCATGAAATGATAGGGGGCCTAATTGGCAGGAATTCATCATGCTAAGGAAAAGCTGTGGAGCTGCTTCCTCCTCAAACGAGGGAGAGAAAAGAGTGTCTCGTGTTTAGGGGTCTGGGCCTAATAAGATGTCGTCCGAAAGGAAAAGAAACCTACCTCCTGACATGGTGGAGAAAAGGGGGAAAATAAAATAGCTTAAGTGTAGGGTGGGGAGGATGGTTTGGGGCAGGGGAAAAAAAGGAAGAAAAAAACCTCTTGCTTTATGCAAATGGGTTCTTCTAACAGGGAGAAAAACTCTTAATTGTTGAACCCTCTTCTTGGCTCAGCCAGGGGAGGAAGACTTCATGTGGCGGGAGGGGGCAGTGAATGGGAAACGCTGGCCAGCTCTCCAGCCAGCTGTGTGGGGACTTTGGCCTCCGAGACTGCCTTGGGACCCAAGGCTCATTCCTGCCCTGCCTGGCCATTGGACAGAGCATGCGCATGTGGCCAACTTGGCCATGTGCCCCAGCAGGGGGCATGGGGGGGGTGGTCAGGGAGTCATTGCTTGCCTGTGTGTCCCATATGTACACCCCTAACCATTGAGGTGGGGGTGTGGAATGCCTGTAAGAACGAACAGAAATCACGTTGTTCTGAATTGCATATCTGATGACTGGGCCAAAGGCTCACTCTACCTAGTAATATCTGTGCAGCGTGTAATAATACCCTTAACATTATAAAAGAAGAGATAGGCACCGTGACAATCCCCCAAAAAAGAAGGAAAATGCCATAGAAAAGATTGGATTGGAACGAGGCCGACATTCCCAACCCCCAAGAATGATGGAGGGGTGGTGTCGGGTTCCTCTCCAGCATCCTGTCCTCTGTAGCTGTGCCATTCATTCTTAATTGGCTCACCAGAGGTTCCGTGCTGCATCTGCCTTCAGAAAAAGTCTGAGGACAAGAAGGCACAGAAAGGAAAGAGAAAGGTTTGGGACAGTCTTTGTTTACTCTTTCTCCAGGTATCCCAGGCGAGCACGCAAACTGATGCAGGATTTTTTTGTCCTTAGCTCAGCTAGATCTGTGTTCTTGTCTCATAACCAGGAAAAATTAGGCATGCAGACACTCAAAGAGTGAGTGGTGTAGAATTTATTAAGTAAAAGGAAAGCTCTAAGCAAAGAGGGGGTCCTGAAAGCAGGTTCCTAGTTGCCCCCTTTACAGTTGAATACAAGGGGTTTTACATACAAGCTGATAAGGCTGAGTTCCCTATTTGTATAAGGCACAAATTCCTGGTAGCTCCACCCCATTCTTCCAGTGTGCATGTGGGTCCTTAGTCCTCTGAAGGCATGTTTAGGTAAGTCCTCTATGCAAGTTCCCTTATCTGCACAAAACATGGGTTGGAGGTTCTCTGGGGACCCTTCCTTACTGTCTGCCTAAAGCAAGCTGGCTAACTCCTTTCAAAGTTAACATCAATTGGGTGGCTTAAAACACAGAAATTTATTCTCTCATGATTTTGGAGGTTAGCAAACTGAAATTAAGATTGAGGCCATGCTCCCTGTAGGGGTTCCGGGGGAGAATCCTTCTTTGCCCCTTCCAGCTGCTAGTGGCTGTTGGCATTTCTTGGCTTCTCTGGCTTCCACGTGGCTCCAGTTTGTCTCCGCCTTATATTCACATCACCTTCTCCAGTGTGTGTGTATCTCAAATCTCCCTCTGTTTTTATCATGTGAGTATATTTGCCATTGGGTTTAGGACTCATCTGGATAACCCAGGATGATCTCATCTCAACATATTTAACTTAGTTAAATATAGAGTCTTTTTTTCAAATAAGGTCACATTCACAGATTCTGGGGATTTGCCTCAGGACATATCTTTTGGGGCCACTATTCAACCCACTACATTGCCTCTTTTTGTTATTATCTGTTATGGGTGGAACTGCGTTCTTCTCCGCCCCTGCCAGTTTCACATATTGAAGTCCTAACTCCCAGTACTCTAGAATGTGACCTTATTGGGAAATAGGGTTGTTGCAAATTTAATTAGTAAAGTTAAAATGAGGCCATTAAGGTGAGCTCTAAATCATATATGACTGGTATCTTTATAAAGGATAAATTTTGACACAGACATGAACATAGGGAGAATGCCATATGAAGATTATAGGAGACAGGGGTCATGTGTCTACAAGCCAACAAGAAACCACTGGAAGTAGGTAAGCATCATGGAAAATTCTCTCTCAAAGCCCTCATAAGGAACCAACCCTGCAGACATCTTGATCTTGGTCTTCTAGCCTCCAGAATTATGAAATAATACATTTCTATAGTTTAATCCACCCAGTTTATGTGCATCCTTATGACAGCCTTAGCAAACTAATACATTCTACATATATGAATAGCGTTTTAAATGGTGATAATCAAATTGTGGTTTTGTAATCTATAATTAATGTTGTATTTTATCTATGAACATCCCACTGAAAGTATGCTTTTAATTTCCTACTTTATAAACAACTCGGTAATAAATATGCAACTATGTACATGCGGCATTTCTCTTTTATGGATTATCTCCTTTGAATACATTGTAAGACATGGGAATCTAGGTCCAGAACAAGAAAAAATTTCGTTACTGAACACCTTGGGAATGTGTTGCTAAATTGCTTTCCAACAAAAGCGTGATTACAATTTACCTTCCATCTGCTATCTGTTAAGTGATTTCTATACGTTTTCACCAGCATTTGACATTATCATTTGAAGTGCTGTCACACACATTTTGAAGATACATTCAAATTTATTCTTGAGGAGGGGAGGGGTAACGAAAAATACTATAAATTTGGTTGTAACTTTTTTTCTGTCTCTTGCATTCAGGCGGTCACCAGAGGAAATTAGTCAGTGCCTTTAGGCTACACTTAGCTTAACACATTTCATTAAAGAGCCCAGTAGTAGAGAATTCAAGATGGGTGTTATTATTTTAATTTCATGAAATCACTCCTTAATTCTAACTTTCAAAAGTCAAATTTTATTTCTTTAATTGCATGTGGATTGTTATAATGAGGAGAATCAGAACAGCTTATAGGACAATATTTCTTTTCTATTTTTCTTAACACACCATATTTATTTGGAAATTTACCTCCTACATTGTCCAGGGAATTAGGATGGGCGTTGGCCGTTTTTCAGCACTTCCTGGTTGAGGCCAAGGGCTCCACTCACGTGCCTGTCCATCCCTCTACAAGGCTTCCCTGGCAGCTTGTTTTTCCGTTTAAAATTTAACAATGACCAAATCCCAAAAAAGCTACCAGGCTAAGAAATGAAACATCTTTTTTTCTTTTAAGTCCGGAGAAGTGCTGCTGAGCACAGCTGGCTCACTGCTGTTTCTGCGGCCCCCATCTCTGATCCTTTCTAGTCTCCTACCCACCCCCACCCCACCATAGGCAGGCAGAGCCGGATTTCTGCCCTTCAAACCCCGAGTGTGAGGAAGCCTCACCTGAAGTCCTCGCATCACCCTCCACCCTCACGCCCTTGGGTTTTAAAAAGCCACTGCGTTCGTGGGTCACTGCAGGGCGCCTCCGCAATGTCTTTAGCAGATACAAGAGCATCCCTCCCACGGGATGTGCAGTGTAGTCAAGCTGAGTAAACTGGGATTTTTGGCTGCCTTTTCTGCTAGGGTGGGTGGGGAAAGGTATGTCCCCCAAGCGTTCAGTTCAGACTAGAACCTTTGAATCTCTCTCCTGTCTCGGTCTCTCCCTCCACCCCCCTACCCCGCCACCTTTCACGGTGTGGGAGTTCTCCTTTCCCACACCAGAGAGGGGCGCCTTTCTAGCTTCCTTGTCCCCTCGCCCACTGATTAAAAAATGGAGAAAAAAACCAACCCCAAAACCCAAAACAAAACAAAACAAAAGCCCCAAACAAACAAACAAACCAAACCCACCGAAACCAAAACCAACTCCCCTCCCCCAAACCACACAAATGCGGGAGTCATAGCCAGTGGATCCGCTGGTGCTGAACGAATGGAAGCGCGGGGCGGGCCTGCGCGCGCGGCCGCCCTGCCCACGATGCTGTCGCCCCCGCGACCTGTAGGGCCTTCGCTGGCCCCTCACCCTCCTCCCGCCCCGGGCTGAGGCTGCCGCCGGTTTCGCGCCCAGTGCCGAGGCAGCGGCGGAGCCGGGGAAGGTCGGAGGGAGGGTGGTTTCCTCCCGCCCCACACCCAGTCTCCGAGCCGGATATATAGAGTGTCACGTTTGGGAGCCGAAAGACTGGAGCCGTTTCCTTGTGGCTGGAGCGCTTCCCGTAGCCTCGGGGAAGGAGCAGGATTTAGAGGACCACTAGTTGGACCCCATCCTCGTGCTGGAGGAACAGGTATTCCAGGGTCCCCAGCCCTGGCGCTCGCAGAGCCCACGCGCTCCAAAAGCAGAGACCGGACTGGGGGTGGCCCAGGAGGGAGGGCTCGGCTGGGTTCGCAGGGCGGGGCGGTTCCCGGCGGGACCTCGAGGAGGGTGGGTGTGAGGCCGGGTGGGAGGAGAGAAGCATTTGCGGAGGCTCTGCCCCCTGAAGCTGCCCCCGGCTGCACCCCAATCGTCACCGGCCGTTTACGCGCGGTTGGCGTCGGCGGAGCCCGCCAAGGTGGGGCGCGCGGGGGTTGCAAAGGGCAGAAAGCCGGGAAGGACCCAGCAAGGTTAATGTGGGGGGCCGCGCCTTGGGGACTGGGGACCCGGGAAGAGAGGCGCGGGGCCGAGTCCCACCCAGGCCTCCTGGGCCCTTGGGGCTATTCCTGGAGAGAGCGCGAAAATGCCGGGGCCACGTGTGAAACGGCAGCGGTCCTAGGTCCCCTCCCGGTGCCTGGGACCGCCAGGGCGCCCAGTCCTGGTCCCCGGAGCAGGTCCTCGCCAGCCCCCAGCCCCACCCCAGGCTGCGCACGTCCCTACCCTCCCACCTGGGCCTCGCCGGGGTCGTGGCTGACGCGCGCTGGGGCGACTGGTGAGGCCAGGGCGGGCTTTGCCCCTGTAGGAAGTTTTAGACATCTTCCTGCGGCCTGGGCATCCTGGGGGTGTGCAGGGGAGCAGGTGCCAGCAGACTCCCAACTGGAGTAGATGGCTTGCAGGAAGGCTGCTCAACACTCCTAGCAAGTAGAATTACCCGCGGGGCAGTCTCAGTCTATTAAAACAATTCATGCCCAATCGTATCCTACAAACCAGAGGAAGGCGTCTCACCTGCCAGCGGTGGCACCATTTCTTCCACGGTTGAGTTATGTGGTGTGAGCAACCAAGGTTATCGCTGGATCTGCAAGAGTTTGGCCACTCGTTGAATCACGTAAAGTGCCCCCATTATGTGATGAGCAAGGACAGAGTAGGGTCAGAAAAGTGACCAGGGAATTCAGGTAGATCGTGCTTTTCTGTTTGCTAGGTTGAGAGAAATTTGACACTGGGCAAATGGAAATTTGAGAATTACCCCGTGGTTTCAATTACCCATCTCTGTATATTCCCATTTATAAGAGCTGGAGATTTGACTGACAGGTGTAGTTAGTCCAAAATTTAGAAAGGGGGGCAAGGGACTAAATAAAAACTTAAGGCAGCCACCTAAACTGCAAGAGCAGGCATTTCCGCAGAAGGGATATTTGTGTGTGAGACTTCTAGGAGATGGGCATGAGGTTTTTACCAGGCCGACGCGTGTGTCAATATTTCATCGGTAGTATTTCTCAGGATCCACGTCTTTACAGTACTCTTTTCCTAATTCTGAGGGCTGCTTCTGCCCCTGCTGTATTAACAAATTCCTCACTTACTCCTATTTCTAACATTGGGCTATAATTATCTATAAAAGAGATGTAAATCACCATGAGTTGGTAAATCATACAGCTATTAGAGAAATTAAAGTAAATGAAAATATGCTTTCCTTAAAGGAAGCTAAAATGTGACATCCAGTTACAGAGGAAGAGGGAGAGGTTGAAAATAAATAAAATGGCTTATATTAGGGTATCACTTTGGGGTTTATAAAGCATATGATCATCTTGACCATCTCACCATCTGCTTTCCTATCTCCTGAGGAAGAAGCATTCTTGAGTGCATTTGTTTCTGGCAACGTCTCATCAGTGTTAAGAATTCCTTGATTTTGCATTAATTCCCATGCACTCATGAAAACTTACTTATTCACAAATATAGCCTTGTGAAGGATCATGCACAGTGACCACCAGCATGCTTGTCCCTACCAATATATTCTGACATTGTAGGCTCTGTTGGAACATGTATTACCTTTGAAGAGGGTAACAGACCAATTTGAGAATCTGATGAAAGCTATGGAATATGAAAGACAAATGCATACATATTAACACAAAATTCCACCTACAATTTCAGGAGTTCATGGCCTCCTTGATGCCCAGCCTCCTACATTCTAGATGTCCAGAGGCTCCAGGCAGGGCCAGCTTCATGGAAATACAAAACTGCAACCGCACAGGGCCTTGCACTTGGAAGGGCCCTGCGTTTGGTAATGTTCTGCTATCACCGTCTGCTGGCTTAATAATTTTCAAAGAGGCTCTGGATCTTCATTTTGAACTGGGTCCTACAAATTATATCCTGACCCCAGGCTGACAAACTTGGTCTAAAACTAACCAAATAACAGTGTTTGAACAGCAATCCCACATTTACGGTGAGTTCTCCAGTACAAACCTGAAATTTATCTGCTGCTCACTTAGGTGCTCTTGGACATGTCATTCAGTCTTCCTACATTTCAGTTTCCTCATTGACAAAATAAAGACAACAGATGACACCTTCTACTTTCTTTATTTTCAAGGTTGTACTATCTCTAAGTAAAAAGAGGTAATAATTGTAAAAAATGTCTACTTGCTTTGAATAGTTCTTTTCTAAAAAATATGCTGTTGTTGAAGGGTTAAACTTTGCCCTCCATTTTTCAGAAGTAGCTTGAGGAAGGTTGATTGAGCACACTGAAAAGACTGTAGAACCTTTCTGACCCTTATAGTTTGGTGGAAAATAAAACAAAAAGTAGGCAAGTATTCAGTGTGTTAAATACTCCTGAAATATCATTATTTGGACAAAATTAGAATTTTCAACTAAAGGTGCAGAATAACTTCTTGGATCCCAAAGGTAGTTATTGAATTAAATTAATGTTTGGGTCTAATTCATCCAAACGTCGAACGGTGAGAAAATGAGCCAATGACTGAAATTTTTTGAGGGGGTAATCCTTTTTGTTTCATTTAATTTAAAAAATCTGTAAGTTCAAAAGTTTGATCAAGTCATCCTTTAAAATATCCTAGGAAATGCCAAATCAATTTAAAGTACACCTAGTCTCTTGCCAAATACACCTAGTGACCTTTTGTAACTCTGGTGCCTCTTAAAGAGGAACTGAGAAAACAGGCAAGTCCTCTGTCCCCAGACTCCTCCCTTAACTACTCTCTGACCTCAAAACTTATCTTTATTCCAGCTGTCCTTGTTAGCATGATGGCAATACACTCAGAACCACTGAGGAATAAAATAGTGTGAAAGGGAATTGATCAAACTCCTTTATTAAGGTCTTCTAATGGCACTAGAAGGGATGAATGGAGATTCGTTCTTCATGCAATTACTCTGTGCAGGGGCATGCAGTGTACTTTAGGATACAAAGTAACAGTTCCTGTATTCAGTAAACTTATGACATCATTAGTAAGACAAATATGTCAATATAAGGTATTAATTTAAAATAGCAAATAAGTAGTTACAAGGCAATAGAAGATTTGGCACCAAATGAGTGGTGCAGAAAATAAGTGCAATTAATTCCCAAGAAGAGAATAAAATAAGCTGAAATGCTGAGGGAAGCATAAGAGGAAAGGCCCTTAGAGATAGCCCTTAAAGTTCTGCAACAGAGATGAACAAACAAGACTTTTGGGTGCCCAGGGACCACAGTGGCACTTTGGGGTGGGAAGTGTGCAGAAAAGGAATATCTGGATGCAGCTGAAGTTTTATGTAAGGAAAAGGCTGGAGATAAGTCTGTAACAGAAATTCCCTCTAGCTAGCTTCATTCATGTAATAAATAATTAGGCCCATTCTGTGACCAGACACTGTGCCAGCTTTTCCACATTTGGTGTTGAACAAAGCAGATGTGTTCCCTATTTTTTTGGAACCTACAGACATTTACAAAATAAACATGTAGGAATACATTGTGGGAAGTAGCGTGGAGAAGAACAGAATGCTGTAAGAAAAAAATCAGGGGCACTGACTCCGTTTTGGTGTTCTGAGAAGGCTTGCTCTTTGACAAAGAAAGATTTCAATTGCTATTGGAAAGAAGCATAGGGGTTAACTTGACTAAAAAAAAAATCAACAAAGAGAAAAAGCAATCTGGGCACAGGAAATTGCAAATGGGAAGGTCTTAAGAGAAAACGCTTGCAGCATTCAGGGGACAGAGAGAAGGCAGGCCTTGTGACTGCACTTAGGTGAGGGCGCTGCTGAGAGGCAGGACACCAGTTGGAGAGGGGAGCAGGTGGCTGGTCATGCCCAAATTCACAGGTGTTGATAAAGATCTTGAATTTAATTTGAGTGGGTTGCCATTGAAGACTTTTAAGCCAGAGACTGTTCTAATTTCTATTTTGAGGAACTCTTTATGTAGACAATAAGGAGAGTGAACTGGAGGGATAAAGGATTGGAGGTAGGAAGACCAGGGAGGACAGAGCGCAGGTGAGAGTACTGTCAGGGAGGAGGGAGAGAAGTGCACAGACTTGAGGTGTGTTTTGAGAGTTGGATTGACATGTCTTGGTGATAGATTGGATATGGGAGGTGGGAGAGGCAGAAAGAAGAGTGGGAATGAATTCATTTAATAGATACTGCTAAATGCTTATAATCCAAAACAGTAGGCTCAGATGCATATGATTTAGAGATGCCGTAAGAAGAACTGAAAAATAAAACAAAAACTGATCGCCCTGGTTATTACCTCTGGAAAAGTATACTGGCTGCTGGGATGGGGTGAGAGAAAGGAGGGAGGAGATTTTTGCTTTTCATACTATCCTCTCTACTGTTTGAATGATTTTTAAAATCATGCTTGCATTTTATAATTTTTTAAAAAGTTATCAGCATGACAGATATAGCTCCTGTCTTTCTGACTTGAGCACATAGATGGAATATGGTGTAATTTCCTAAAATGAGAAAAATTAGGGAAGAAAGATCTGATCCTCTCCGAAATAATTATTCCAAAACATAATTTACTCCCCTGCTTAAAACCCTGTCATTCCTCTGCCTTGTCTATAGCAGTTTTTCCTAAACTGCAGTCTATGAATTATTATTTTCTTGGGATATTAACAGTTAAGTAAAGGAAGAAAAGCTTCCCTGATGATATGACTTTGAGAAACTCTTGATTTAACCTACTTAACCAGTTGTGGTTTTGTTTTTGTTTTTTTTTTTGTTTTGTTTTGTTTTGTTTTGTTTTTTGAGACAGAGTCTCTCTCTCTTGCCCAGGCTGGAGTGCAGTGGTGTGATCTCAGCTCACTGCAAGCTCCGCCTCCCAGGTTCATGCCATCCTCCTGCCTCAGCCTCCTGAGTAGCTGGGACTATAGGCGCCCACCACCACGCCTGGCTAATTTTTGTATTTTTAGTAGAGACGGGGTTTCACCGTGTTAGCCAGGATGGTCTCGATCTCCTGACCTTGTGATCCGCCTGCCTCAAAGTGCTGGGATTACAGGCGTGAGCCACCGCACTGGGCCCCTACTTAACCAGTTTTATTGCAGGAATCCTCAGAGCATGCATGTCCTAATGCATGTTAATAATCAAGAAAAGAGAGATCTTTTATGCTACATTTCCTAAACTTGACGTTGAAATGCTTTTCCAGCAGAACATCTAAGAGAGCCAGCATTCAGCATAACACGCTTTGGGAAATGCTGTCCTATATTAATAGATTAAACCTTTTAACATCTACAGTTCTCTATTAACCATAAGCTTCTCTCATCTCTTTAATCCTACTTAGTTGGTGGAAAGCGGGAGACTGGAATTGACTCTGTTAATAGGCATTAAGTTGATGATGAAAACAACCCTGCTCTGTGGATGATATTCAGAAACAGGATCTGCAGTCTGATTAAAAGCAAAATTGTTTTTCATTTCTACTTCTTTGGCAAGGTTCTGCAGGACCTCATCAAGATACATTTTGTGAAGTCTCTGTTTCATACATGTGACCTGAGGCATAAACAATGGGGAAGACTCCCCAGGGCCTCTTAGGTCCCGTGGTAGGCCTGGGCCTTATCTGATCTTTGTAAGCCATCCCCTGCAGGGCAATACAGTGTGACTACATAGGGCATCTGTAGGAACATTGGTTTTTGAGTCTCATATATCCACTTCCTGGATCCCCATGCATTTGCATGGTGGTAGGCTGGAAGCAGAAATGCAACTTATGGCCAAAGAACAGTGCAGCAGAGCATAATGGAAGAAACAGGTTCACACAGCTGTAGAATTCTTCCTTGGCTTCATCAGCTCTGTGTTCCAGCCCAGGGGTCAGCAGCTTTGGCCCAAGGCTGAAATCTGGCCCCTGCCTTTTTGTTTATTCTTTGAACTAAGAATGGTTCTTATATTTTTAAAACTTAGAAAAAATCAAAAGAATAATATTCTGTGACATGGGAAAAATTATAGGAAATTTAACGTATATGAAATTTAACCTTCAGTGTCTATAAATAAAGTTTTATCAGAAAACAGCTTGTATCATTCGTCTAGTCATCCCTATTGGCTATGACTGCTTTAGTGCCCTAACCAATCAATTATTATGACCTTTAAATCCTAATATATTTACCTTGTGGTCCTTTACAGAAAATGTTTGTTGACCCCTGCTCTAAGGCTATGAAACTCACCTGCCATAGGTAATCTTAATTGTTTTGTTTTTCATTTATTTAATTTATGAGGGGATAGAAATAAAATAGTTAAATTGACTTCCTAGTAGGTCCTCAAACATTATTGGCATTCAGGCACAGAAAGAGAAATACTGCATCATCTCATTTTTAGGTGGAATCTAAACATATTGAACTCATAAATAAAAGTAGAGAGAAGAATGGTGGTTACTAGAGGTTGAAGGCAAAAAGTGGTAGGGGTGCAGGGTGTGGGGAGGTGGGGGGAAGTTACTGGTCAAAGGGTTCAAATTTTCAGTTAGGCAGGAGGCATTCGTTTTGAGATCTACTGCACAGCGGAATGACTATAGTCAATGATAATGTACATTTAAAAATAACTAAGTAAATTTCAAATGTCTCACCAAAAAAAAGATAAGTGATGGCTACTGTATCCTCTGAATGTATGAAATTATAACTTGTAAATTTAAAATAATATTAATTTTAAAAATGAAACAAACTATTTTTGGCATTGGAGTCGTGACAATGCCAGTTTTTGTTGATGGCTGGTGTTGCTAACGCTACATGCCCATGTAAAGAGCAGAAGACAGTCGCAAAGGTGATCACTTGTAAATTTTATTCAAACATTTGAACTCATATATACAGGATAGGCACTCAGATAAATAAAACTACGGCATCCAGAGGTAAGGGGGAAATTAAATCTAATATAACTTAACTGTTTTATTTTATTACCTCTGAGCAGATTGGATTTCCTATGAGTAGTCGCCTCTGATTTTTATTTCAATAATGAAGCCAATCTTTTTTTATTATTAATGCACACTTTTATATGAATAGTGGTAGTTTAGGGGTGACAGCCTCAATTTTGGGTGACAGAAATACAAATTTCTCTGTCCCCACCTTAAACCTACTGAATCAGAATCTTTGGCGTGAGGATCCCCAGGGCTTTCATAAGTAGCTGCCACAGCATAGGGGGAGATTTTGGAATAGCTAGTCCAGGTATTTCCATGGAACGTAGAGTCAGAAAATAAGACCTTCGAGACCTGGTGCTTGGCTCTGTTACTGCTGTCATAAAATATTTTCAGACGAGGGTGTGCTGTGTGATCACAGAGTTTGGATTATGGGTCTCATTGCCAGCCATATTGATTGGAAGATTTCTGTGAGATATCTAACTTTATAAAGAGGACTGGTTTCAGGTGACATCTTCATTCAATAGACATTTTCCCACTTTAATCAACACCAGTATTAAAGCAAAGAACATTTTATATATATATATATATATATATATATATATATATATATGTATCAATGTGATTAAACAATGCAATTAAACAATGAAAATTGATTAAACAATGTGGTTAAACAATGAAAAAAAAGCCTTACTGTAATTGCCAGACACTAAGAATAACATTTGCTTGTTGATTTAGCTGTATTATTTCGAAGTCCTAGATCATTTTGTATCCTTAACTGCTGCAGGTTTGCAAAAGCATTTTTCATCCTGCAGTTGATAATATGTATCCCCTATGGCTTTTGGACATCTTGCTTTTAAGGCATTTTAACTTCCCAGGCTTCTCCAGAGACAGCCCCAAAACATTGAAGCCCACACCTGAAGGGAGGAAGAGAAAGCAAACACTCCTCCCTGTGAATTTGTGTAGAAAAGACAAAAATATGGCTTCTCCAACCACTTACTCATCCTTCCATCTTAGCTGGGAAGCTGTTGGATCAGTAGCATCTGCTGATGAATAACAGGATGACCATAGGAGGCAAGAATAATATTTCCTGAGCCAAGAAATGAGAAATAGTTATAAAAACACCCCACATTTTAGATCATTTTTTAAAAATCGTGCACTATTTATCACAGGTCATTGTGAGGGCACATTCCACAGAAGTGAGCAAAAATCCCAGGTATCCTTGAAAGCAAGATCCTTGGAAATTAGGATGGCAATTAAGTTATGTGTCTGGTCCCAACATATTTGAAACCACTTAAGCACTTCCAGCAGAGTTAGATTCACCAGTGCACAGTATTGTCAAGAAACCAAAAGAATCTGCCCAGAAGAAATGGATAAACTGAGTAAAAGAAACTGTAACAAGTCAGTGTTTGTGCATGTATTAAAGATTTTTGCTTATTATTTTCAATAAAGGATATTTAATACTGAAAGTTGTATGGATAGAAGTAACATAGTTTTAGCATCTTAAAGATGGATGGTATTCAGTTAGTGAAATCATAGAGCAATTTGCCTAAAACTTAAGAGAAACTGTTTACTTAAAATAATATTTGTTTCTGATAGATATTAAGTAAATATTAATGAAACCAACTTGATGTCAGTAAATAATAATAAGTAAAAAAACCAACTTTGTATTTCTCTATTTCACTGTAACTATTGTCTCATTTTGAATTGAATATTATTTCACTTGTGTTTTGTTTACACAAGACCTTCAGGACATATCTGCCCTGAAGCTAAGCACATGATCTAAAAGATGGGCACTTGTTCTTTTACCAAAGAGTTTTCTGGGGATTGAGATCCACTTACCAAACTATTCTCAAAGCTGCAGGAATCTTTGATGGCTTCAAAGAATTAATTTCCTTCATCCAAATGAGCAGTTTGCTTCTTTCTCAGCAACTTGTACTTGCCATAACTCTCTTCTTAGCAGAAGTGTGACATTGCCTCTTCCTTCTTTTCCTTCTGCTATTTTGGTGCAGTCCTGCCGGAGGCAATGGTTATGCAAGTGCCGCTGAATGCATTGCTGATCACAGGATGACACTTAGATAAATTTAGGTCTCAGTTTCTTTTAGGACAGAACAAACTTTTCCCAAATTAGACTTCCTTGAACTCCTAGACATACTATATGTTGGCACATATCACACCATCTTGTCTACAGTACATAGTAGTGAGTGCAAATAGCTTTGTCTTAACTAAGTATATTCACACTGGAAATTGTAGAATGTTCAAGTACCATATCTATATTTGGTTCAATTCTCTTAAAGAAAATAAAAGCCAGTCCTGAAGACGTAAAGTGGCTTGTCACACATCTAGTTAGTGGGTGCATCAAGGCTAGTATCCACATCTTATGACTGCAAATCCCATGACAATTCCATTCCATTCATTCATTTATTCATTTGTACTATTTACTGAGTACCTACTATGTGCCAGGCAGGGTGTTTAGCTTTGCAAATAGAATGCAAAACAAGTTATAGTACCAGCCCTCAAATTTTAGTACTCCCTACTCTTTGAGCAATATTTGGCCGGTTGCAACTTGGAGTTTGTGCAATTTTTCAGTAATGATACCCAATGTGTAAATATACAATGCTCATATATCTTTATTTTCCCTTCTTCCCTCTTCTAACTAGCCCCAGTCAATGACTTGACTTCCCATAGCACCAAGCACTTAACACCAATAAGAGTAAGATGGGAGGCCGGGCACGGTGGCTCATGCCTGTAATCCTAGCACTTTGGGAGGCCAAGGCGGGCGGATCATGAGGTCAGGAGATCGAGACCATCCAGGCTAACATGGTGAAACCCCATCTCTACGAAAAATACAAAAAATTAGCTGGGCATGTTGGCAGGTGCCTGTAGTCCCAGCTACTCGGGAGGCTGAGGCAGGAGAATGGTGTGAATCCAGGAGGCAGAGCTTACAATGAGCCAAGATTGCGCCACTGTGTGTGAGACTCTGTCTCGGAAAAAAAAAAAAAAGAGGGTATGATGGGAAATAGAGTTGAAATGAATTATGAAAAATTCCATAGGGAAGATCATGAAAATTCTTCCCCAGAAAACAATGTTCTTGATTCACCACCGCAAGGCTTGGGGGTTATTAGCTTGTGTGTCTCTCCTCTCGTTTACTCACTGTGTCACCAGGTCCTCTCTTTCCTCAAACTGGCTGAGACGTAGCTTGCATCCTCTAGCTTTACTTTCCTTCTGTATCTAAAGATAGACACAAACTCTTGGTGTTTTAAGTACTTAAGTGCTAATCCTTGTGGGGAAAGTGAGAGGGGAAGAGCAAAAATAACCAATGTGAAGAAGTTATGAAGTTTCCAGAATGATACCGTTGAATCTTGGCATAGGATCAGTAGTTAGTTGCTTACTTCCTCTAAGATAAGTGGAAAAACCCCATTATCTTCAGCTATCTGTCTTTATTTCTGGAGGCAAGATCAAAAACCAACCATCTGCCCTATAAGTCCTTACTTATTCTCCTGAACTAGATGAGTACAGGCATTGTCTGATGAGAGGATTTCTAGCTTTCAACAGATTCTCACAGAATTCATGACCAGAACAACATGGGGTAATGACTGCTTTAGGAGCCATTAAGTGGGCCATTTTAGTTCCTTGAAGTCCTCTAGACTTTGGCCACTGTCAGTTCAGGAAAGATGCCTTCTGAAGATTCCTCACAGAGACTGTACAGCTGTTTGGGATACATAGGATTTTATATTTCATCTTCAGTGATTCATGAGCATTACATTGTTCCAAAACAGAGAAAGGATTATGTCATTCCCCTGCATAACACCTTCCATGGCTCTCCATTCCCTACAGTAGCCTTGCCAAGTGTATGAGATGCTAATTGAGGTAGACTGTGGGAGGTGGGTGTTTCCGGTGCAGAAGAACCCTTGATATCACCTTCACTTCCTGCTATATGGCTGCGTATCAAAAGGCAAGTTACTTAACTTCCTGCTATATGGCTGTATTCAAAGGCAAGTTACTTAACCTTTCAGTCTTCCCAATGTATTCATTTGCTAGGGCTGCTGTAACAAAGTACCACAAACTGGGCGGCTTAACCAAAAGAAGTGTATTGTCTCACAGTTTTGGAGGCTAGATGTCTGAGATCCAGGTGTCAGCGGGGTTGGCTTCTGAGAGCTGTGAGGGAAGGATCTGTTCCAGACCTCTCTTTGCTAATAGATGGCTGTCTTCTCCTTGTGTCTCACATCCTCTTCTTTCTATGCGTATATCTGTCTTTTTATAAAGACATCCATCATATGGGATTAGGGACCCCCCCCCACTCCAGTATGACCTCATCTTAACTAATTGTATTTGCAGTGATCATATTTCCAAATAAGGTCACATTCTAAGGTACTGAGGTTTAGGACTTCAACATATAAAACAATTCAACCCATAACACCCAGGAAATTATTACTTGACTTCTTATTATCACAATGGAAAATGAGATGAAACTATCTGCAAACCACTTTCTGTGTACTAAAAAAAAGTACATATATTTTTGGTATGGATTAATAGTGAACATAAGTAATGACTACTGACTTCACCAAGAGTTTCTTCTCCACATGATCTTTATTATTTTTTAGGTATAACATCTGTGTGGAAAAGTGAATATATCACAAATGCATTTAACACACACAGACACCTCCCAGATTCTATCTTCCAAGTTAAAAAAGAAAAGCAGAAAAACATTTATCAGCATCCTATAAGCTCCCCTCATACTCCTGGGCAGTCAGTACCTAGTGCCTCCCAGATTATCCACTGTCTTGACTTCTAAGTCACAGATTAGCCAAGTTCAAACATAGATTAGCTTTACCAGTTTTTGGAGTTTGTATAAATGAAATTATATAGTAATACTTTTTTTTACATCTGGCTTATTTACTCAATATTATGTTTGTGAGATCTTTCAAATTATTGTGTGTATTTGTAGATTATTCATTCACATTGCTGTGTAATACTCCATACTGTGAATATGCCATACTTTATGCATTCTGTTGATGAAGACTTTAGTAGTTTCCATTGTGAGTTTCTTAGGACTAGAGCTGCTATGAGCATTCTTGAGAATGTCTTTTGTTAAACATACGTACACATTTCTTTGGGGTATACTTAGGTGTGAAATTGCTTTATGCAAAGAGCTTTAATAAATCTGCCAAAGCGTTTTCCAAAGTGATCGTTCAAGTAATACTCCCAGCAGTGGTAGTCAAGAATTTCCCTTGTTCCACATTCTTGTCAACACTTCTTATTTTCTGTCATTTTCATTTTAACCATTTGGGTGAGAGAGTAGTTGTGAGGCATGGTAGTTTTATTTGTATTTCTCTGGTGAGTGAAAAGATTGAGCACCTTTCTATATATTTTTTGGCCACTTGGATATCTTCTCTTGTGATGTCCCCCAAGTCTTTGCTCATTTGTCTATTGGGTTATCTATCTTTTTCATAGTTATTTGTGGGTATACGTTATATGTTCTGGATACAATTCCTTTGTTAGATATGTGCTTTGTCAATGTCTTCTCCCAATCTATGCCTGGCCTTTTTGCTCTTTTTTATCTTTTAATGAACACAAATTCTTAATCTTAATAGAGTTCAATTTATTAGTGGTGTTCTTCATAGTATTTTTTGCCTACTCATGAAGCAAGATGTTCTTTTCTAAAAATTGTGTTGTTTTGCCTTTTACACTAAAAGTTATACTATCCATCTGAAATTAATTTTTTGTGTGATGTGAGAAATAAAATACATGTTTTTCCATGTGGATATTCAATTGACTCTACATTAATCATTAGAATTCTGCATTTCATTTTAAATCACGGGCACACAGTAGCAGTCTGGATGCCTCAGAATGAACACATTTAAGGATCAAGTCATTTAAAACATATCTCACTATAATGACTTCTGCAGCCCATTTTGACTGTGAATAGCCTAGGCTGTTCAGTGTTAAGGTCAAATGCTCATTTAATCTGCTTGCAGGAACCTAATTTCTGGTCTAATAGATTAAGTAAAATAAAACAAATAAATGCATCCCCTTGGAAATAGATCACTCTAAAAAATCAAAGTATACAATTTAAAATTAATTTGGATCCTAGACATAAGGGTTATTGGTGAAAAAAATTAATAGTGTGGAAAGGTCTTGACCAAACATTTGGGGAGAAATAACCAAAAGGCTTATCTTTTATTATTAAGGAAGGCAAATGAAGACAAGGCCCACTTGTCTTCATTATACTCACACATTTACTGTCTCATTAGTTCCCCCAACTCTCATCAAGGTGGAAGACATGGAATAAGGAGAGATTGAAGGCAGAAAGATTAGCTAGGTGGCCATTCATTCTTTGACGCATTCATTCAACGAGTATTTATTCAATGATTATTGTACCAAGTATTGTATTAAATTCTGTGAATATTAAGAAGAGTAAAACACAGTCATTGCCCTGAAGGCATTTGCAATCCAGTGGAGAAAATAGACAACTAAGTAGTCACTTACATAAATGTGATAATGAATAGAGGCTGTGAGAGTTTGGCAGATAGGACATTCAACTCAGCCCAGAGTGAGGGGAGACCTGGGAACCCCTTCTCAAAGTCTGAGGTTTGCCCACTGAAGGATAGGACAGGATGAAGGATGAATGGAGGACATAGCCTCTAGAGCTAGTCTACAAGATGTGTGACCGTGGACAAATCACTTTATTTCTCTGTGCCTTAGTTTTCTATTTGTTAAATGGGGTTTATAATAGTAACCACCATAGAGTTGATCTGCTAATTCATTCTTCCGTTAGAAGAGTGATTGACACTGAGTATGTGTTTAGTGAGTCAAGCTATTGTCATATGTGAGAGTTACAGCATTACAGTTGGTCCCGAAGTTCTGGAGAAGCAAAGAGGTATTATCCACAGCATTTGTCCATTGTGACAACTGTAGTAGACAGAGAAGAGCAGTGACCAGAACCCAGGAGTTCAGACTATTGTCCTGATTGTGCTCTATGTCTACATCAGATAAACGACTAGATTATCTTTAAAGTTCCTTTCCACTCTCATGTCCTATGATTCTGCAGCTTCTGCTGAGATAGACTTAATAAATATGATTTGAATTCTGGTGGTAGAGAAATAAAGAAATCAAAATCCATTCTTAGATTTCCAGCTGAGTGACTGAGTGAGCAGTGATATCATTTCAAAAGAAACAGGCAAGTCAAGAAGAGATAGGTGTGTGGAGACTGGGAGACAGATTCGTGGATAGAATTTTTAGGTTGGAAGAAACCATTTCCATCATTTTATTTCAGTGTGGTAGAGAGGCAGATATTTCCACAGTTAATCACGGCCACAGAAACAGGAGCCCTATTGCCTAGATCAGGGTTTGTCACTTACTAGCAAGTTACTTGAATGTTCTGCATTTGGCTTTCTTCATCTGTAAAATGCAGGTGAAATGCAGATTGAACCATGCACAATTGCCCTTTGTAGGTCAAAATGGTTGAGTGTTGGCAATTTCATATGGTTTGACCTAATAATAGATACCCTCTAAGGGGCTGTACTGAGAAGTAAATGAGTTCGTGTGTGTTACCTGCTTAGGACAGAGCTCAACACGTAATACAGTACTATGGAAGTGTTTCCCTTATTATTAAGGCCATTTAGCTTTTTCAAAATCGATTGCACCAAGCTTCATTTAGGAAGAACAATCAGGAATTGCATAGTACACCTATTTAGGTCTCTTTCCCATTCTTCACTTATGCAGGCACGAGGCCTTGATGAGGCAGTTAGTCCCTAGGAATACAGCTGGGTTTACTTTTGCCGACGCGGCTGCTGCCATTTTGCTTGTTTCTCATGCCTGCATCTAGACAGGAATTGGCTTCTGCTCCAAAAGGAAATTTAGCATCAAAGTTCTCGGATGAGCTAGCTTCCTCTCCCTGTTCTTTTGTCCTCCACCCTCACTCCCTCCCTAGCCCAACTCTTGGTACCAGCAGGCCTAGTTTCCATCTCCCTCACAGGGTGTGATATTGGTGACATACTGGTCATCCAACATCTGAAGGCCCTTGGTATTCTGGACACCCCGGCTGGCCCTGCAGAGACGGGAAAAGGAGAAGGGCATATCTAAGGCTAAGAAGAGGGAAGAACGGAGGGGAGAGTGAAGGGAGCTCCAGCTCTGAGCCATGAACTGAGGAGTAGGACAGACACAGAGGCTACTGAAGAACCCTGTTCTAGTTGCATGACTTTGACGAGTCTTAGACTGTTCGTGTGATGAGTCTCCAATTGTGCATGAACCAAGATGCAGAGAGATGTTAAAGAAGCAGGAAAAACAAAACTAAACTAAAGATGTATCTTTCCTGTGTCTTTTAAATCACAGGGACACAGTAGCAAGCTGGACACCCTAGCAGTAAAAGCAGTATGAGTGGAGTTCCTTACAGAACTATTTACTTGCTGTTGCCTGGTGTCATAAACAGATTAACGATGACTCATACTGTTGGTTTATAATATATGTTCCAGTTTGTGAATTGTCTTTTCACTTCCTTTTTTGTGTGTTTTTGAAGCACAGAAGTTCTTACTATTAATGTAGCTGAAGTTGCTGAATATTTTCTCTTTGTTTTCAGGTATTTGTATCTTGCTTAAGGAGATGATTCCCTATCTGCTTCACATTTTAAGTAATTAGTATGTAAACCTCTCCTACGTTAGGCTGTGGTTTCAAGTTTGCAACCATTCAAGTTTGCAATAGTTTATTTTCTCTTGTTGGTGTCACCCTAGTGATACATTTTACACAAAAGAAGGAAATACTCTAAGGATGAAATTCAGAATTACAAATTATGGCTGATTAAAATCACCCTTACTAATTACTGAATGTTTCACAAGTGCAAGACACTTTACAAAAAGTTTGTCGCATCAATCCCAGGGATCACAGACGAGGAAAATTAGGCCCACAAAGTTTAAAATGTAATCATTAAGCAAGCAATTAACATAAAAATATAGTTATTATTGAAAGCATAATTTTGGTTAGGAGAGAGTTCCAACTCAAAAATCTCCTTTGAGAACTAACCTAAAGAATGCTTTGGGTGTTGAAATATTCCCATTTTGTTTGAATGTAGTAGACACATTTCTATTAAAAGTAGCATCATATTTGCCTGAAAATCAATGAAAAATGATTTTCTTCTTTTTCGATGATCAAATTTTTCAAGAACAGAGTGTCTTTGTTATCAAGGACAGTTTGGAAAGCAGTTGTACCAAATAGGTAAACATTTGGAGCCTTGAAGAGGAAATTAGCTGTTGAGGTTAGAGTTTCCTTGCAAATTCAATACATTTAAGTTCACAGAGTTCTAATATTCTAATACATGGTAATTAAGAAAAAAAATATAGAACAGAGTTATCAGGTGTCCAAATGTCCTAGATGTTGTTGTATAGGAAAAACAGGAAGCAAATAAACACCTGGTAAAAAGCTTTCTCCTGTCCTATAGCAGTTAGAAGTTGTAAATTTCTTTCATCAAAATTTCAGTCTTGGCTCTGTCACTAACAGCGGCCTTAGCCAAATCACTACTTGTCTCTGATCCTCAGTTTCCTCATCTGTGAATAACAACATCTACACTATTTATCTCCCAAGGTTTTTGTGAGAAGATACTGAAATATGTGCATGAAATGCTTTGAGAATTGTTAATATAAAGTCTAAGATGTAAATTATAAGAGTTGCTGATATATTAATAGTAAATGGTATTGACAGTATCTAAGACTGATAAGGTCTTTTGTGTGTGTGTGTACAGACTTTAATATCTATATCTATACATAATTTTATACATGATAATAGTAATTTTCATTTAAATTACATTTAACACTCCTTGGAGGACTTATTATGTCCATTATTTTATGTGAGTCCCTGAGTAACCTTGTGAGGTGGACCAAGTGTTGTCTTATCTTTCCATGTTGATAATGCAGATCTCTGCTTTCTGACCAAAAGGAAAGCCTCTCCTCTTTGGCAATTTCCATAGCTTCTGTCAGTCCTTGTTGCTGTTGCCCGTCACCTCCAGATTATTCCCTGATATTTATCAAATATGTGGCTCACATATGTCCTCTCCTTTCCTACTTCTGAGAGTATTCTTAACATTGAAGTCCATGTGGATGAACATTCAGCACTCTGATGCTTTGACCTCACACTTTCATCAGTTTTCATTTTAAGCACTAAAGCACCCGATTTTTAGAAACCTACTTCCAAGGCAAGTCCTCAGGCTTTGACATTGCTCCAGACAGCTATATCTGAAATCTCTAAATCTGACAGTTCACTCTTGGACAGTGACCTTCTTTACTTCCAGCTCTCTTAGTTTCTTTCTCCCCCTATAGCTATGGTTCCAGTTCAGCAGGACTTTCATTCTTTAAACTCCCCACGATCCCTGCCCCTGATACAGATAAACATATGCACTTTCTCATAGTCAATGAGCTTCCTCTGGATCTTGCTTCCTTCTCTGTGTAGCCTAGGTCAATTACTTTAAGAGTACCCTTGCCAACTGCTTCTATTCCTACCCTTTTTATTTGTTACTCCCAATTTGGATCTTGCCAATAATCGATTTTTCCTGCTCCAACCACCAGCAGTCAGGCGTTGCTGGAGAAAAACCAGGTAAGTATGTGTATGAAATGGAGATGGTACAAATCCATCGCTATCCCCATTGGATACTCTGCTGCTTTCAGCTTCTTTGCTGGTTTCTGGTGTGTTTTCTATTCTATCTGAAGGAGTTGTTATAAATATTTACCCCTTTCCAGGAGCTTTTTCCTTTACTTGCAACTTTTAAATTAACATTATATGATCTTGCCTCACACTCCACAGAGAAAAGAAAAATAACCAAAGATCTGTCTCTGGTTCTGCTCCAACCTCCCTCTTTTCCTTCTTTTTAGAGGATGACATGACATTCCCCTATTCAAGTCTGACCTACGTTTTTCTACAAATTTTATTCCCTCTGAACTTCTCCAGAGGCTTACTTCCACTTATTTTCGTTCTCTCCTTTTCAGTCTCTCAGAGCATGTAGATGCTCAAACATTTCATTTCACTAACAAATAAATGAGCATTCCACACACACCCTTATTTTTACATCCTTCTATTCTTCAATTGTTACGTCATTATCCTATATCACTTTTCCTCTTGTGGTTGAATGTCACCCAGAGGTACTTTACATTAGCTCTTCTGATTAAGTAATGCCTCCACGGAGTTGTCATATAAATACTACAATCCAACAACAGTTCAAGAATTATCCTGACAATTTGGTGCTTTATTTAGTCACTTCTATGTTGACATTTTGCCTTATTCAGTAAGGAAGTTTGCTTTAGATAAATATATGACGGTAAATTGCAGCTTTGACCAATGACTAGAGAGAGTATCAAAGCATTAACTATTACACCTCGTGTAAGAAACAAGAACTTTAAGGATAGTGATGGGAATTGTGGGAAAAAAATTCCTCATTACCAGTTACTAATGTGACATTCTTGGAGAGATGGTGCTTCCCAAATAAACAGTGTCGTCAAAATAAATGTGCATACCCTCATAGATGAAATACAAATAGTTTTTTTACGCAGGATTCCAGAAAGTAGCAGAGGGTGGGATCTTGATAACGTGTCAGTCAAGAGTAAACACAGATGCCAGGGAAGTCTTTCCTGCACAGTTAGTTTATCCCGCTTGAAACCAGAGGCCAGCTGGGAGTTGCTGAACTTTGGTTCTCGCTCCATAAAAGGGAAGCCTGCAATTAGATGAACCTTTGCCTTTGCTGACAGAAATTACTGAGATTTATGATACTGTGAGGGTACGTGGGGGACCTTATATTCTTAGCAAATGTCAAATTACCCTGATGATATTTCTGGTCAGCTCATTTCTGGGGATGGAGAGCAGTGTGCTTACTGACAGACTAGGCCCTGTGAGGCATCCTCATTTGGTGCATGTTCAGATGTTTCAAAAGCTCATTTCTAAAGAACAGGCTCAGAAAGAAATGAACAGAAAGTAATTCAAACTACCAATAATCATAATTTAGTATTCATCTTGTGTCCAGAATTGGTTCCTTCCAGTGGGTTCTTGGTTTTGCTGACTTCAAGAATGAAGCCGCGGACCTTCGCGGTGAGTGTTACAGCTCTTAAGGATGGTGTGTCTGGAGTTTGTTCCTTCAGATGTGTCCAGAGTTTCTTCCTTTTGGTGGGTTTGTGGTCTCGCTGACTTCAAGAATGAAGCCGTGGACGTTCGTGATGAGTGTCACAGCTCTTAAAGGTGGTGTGGACCCAAAGAGTGAGCAACAGCAAGATTTACTGTGAAGAGCAAAAGAACAAAACTTTCACAGCGTGGAAGGGGACCCAAGTGGGTTGCTGCTGCTGGCTGGGGTGGCAAGCTTTTCTTCCCTTATTTGTCCCCTCCCATGTCCTGCTGATTGATCCATTTTACAGAGCGTTGATTGGTCCATTTTACAGAGTGCTGATTGGTCCATTTTACAGAGTGCTGATTGATGTGTTTACAATCCTTTAGCTAGACACAGAGCACTGATTTGGTGCGTTTTTACAGAGTGCTGATTGGTGCATTTACAATCCTTTAGCTAGACACAGAGCACTGATTGGTGCGTTTCCAATCCTCTAGCTAGACAGAAAAGTTCTCCAAGTCCCCACTCGACCCAGGAAGTCCAGCTGGCTTCACCTCTCAATCCCCCCTCTAAACAGGACACCCCAACTGCTGTTGGGAATTGGGCAATGACCACTGTAGCTACTTCCTGCTGGATAGGGGCAAAGTAGCAGCCCTGCAGTTGTAGTGTCCTCCAGAGGTGAACTCTTTAGGCCAGTGAAAGGGTCAGTGGGTCAGTCCAGAGGTCCTTGGTAGAAGTTGTTAGTTGAGCTCATTTGGGGTTCCATTTGTAAGACCACCTGTAGCTCGATGGCCTTGATCCTAGAGGAAACAAATTTGACAAGGAGGTTAAAAATACAGGGCCTGAAGGCGAGTAATAGCAAGATGGCAGTCACGGGACCTAGAAAGGGGAGAAGCCATGTTGTGCAACTCCAGAGGTTGGTATAAGAATTTGAAAGGCATTGTCTGATTTCAGAAGCCTTTTCCTGTAAATGCCGGGCAGCGTTTCCTACTATCCCTGACTGGTTAGTGTAAAAACAACACTCTTCCCCTAAGAAGGTGCAGAGTCCTCCTTTCTCAGCATTGAGGAGGTCTAGGCCTTGGCGGTTTTGGAGAGTCACTGCTGCCAAAGAGTCTATTTGGGATTGTAGAGTAAGGATAGATTTTGTTATTTCTTGCAAACTGTCTGAGAAATCCTTTGAGAGTTTGTAGTAGTAGGATAATGTAGTAGATATACCTGCTATTCTAGTTTCTGTAGCAGCAGCCATTCCTAACCGTATAAGTAGGGGTATTAGTTGTATGGCCCTGCACTCTTGGACTTGAGCTTTGAGGGGCACAGATAGGGTATGATTTCCGTAAGATTAGAAGTTAGGATAATACAAGTTACACTGTTAACTTTTTTAGCAAACTTTACTTTTGTTGAAAACCTTGTAAGTTTGGGATTTCAATTATTCTTTGCTATTAATAAGACCTCATTCAGCCCATATTAACTTAGAATTGGTATAGATGGCTCCTTCCTGATTCTGTAAGTACTTTAAGGTTTGGCTGAGTGCAAACAGCTGGCACGTTTGAGCAGACCAGTTGTTAGGCAATTTTCCTAACCCTGCTTCTGCAAGAGTTTCCTTATCATTTACTGAATACCCATTGTGTCTTTTTCCCTTAATCGCCTGGGAGGAAACATCTATCTCCTGTCCTGAAGGGAGTTCCTCCTTGGTCTGGTCAGACCTTTGTATGGTAATTAAGATTTAGATCCCCTGTTAGGAAACCTGCTGGGTTAAGGATTTTTGTTAGGAAGGCTATGGGTTGTCAGTGGCCTCAGTGCTTTCGGGCTATGCCCTTGTTTACACTGACAACAAGGTGGTACTGGAGTACCACGGAGAAGACCTTCAATTATCAATTATAGGTTTTAAATTTACCCTGGCTTTTAAAGGAATAGGATACACTGTGTTTTCTTTAGTATTTTCATCTCTCTTTCTTTTTCTTTTTCTTCTTTGTCTCTCTCTTTCTGACTCCCTCTTTGTCTGTTTCTTCCTTTCTCTCTTTGACTTTCTGTCTCTCTCTTTCTCTCTCTCTCTGACTCCCTCTTTTTCTCTGTCTCTTCCTCTCTCTCTTTGACTTTCTGTCTCTTTCTCTGTCTCTCTGACTCCTCTTTGTCTCTGTCTCTTCCTCTCTCTCTCTCTCTCTCTCTGACTTTCTCTTTCTCTCTTTCCTTTCTGCTGGTCTTTCCCTGCCTCTGCTAGCCGCTTATGCTGCTGTTCTCCCCTCACCTTCCCCTTTTCGATGGCTTCGACAGTGTAAGACTGCCACCTCCTTGGGTTTTTGCACTGCGTGCAACAACTCCATGATTTCCTTGTGGTATTTAATGGGGGTTCCCCCAGAGGTTAGGAACTCCCTTTCTTTCCATATTGCAGTATGGGCATGTGGGATTAGATAAGCATACTTACTATCTGTAGCGAAGTCTCCCAGTGACAACTGAGGAGGTGGAAGAAATACCTGATTACAGGCTGTTCCAGGATTCCTCAGATGGTAACAGACCTTGAGGACAGCTGTCCAGGACAGGAGATTAACAATGAGAAAGCCATGCCAGTGTCCAGGAGGAAGTCAATTTCCTGGCCATCAATGAGCTGGTGCTTGCCCCAGGCACCCTCAGTCCTGTTGTTGGATCATCTGGTTGGGGGCTTCTGGCCCAGAGAACCTTTGTCCTCTGGGGCAGTGTGCTGTCCAGTGATTGCCTCGGCATAGTGGACATGGGCGAGGGGGCAGCTTGTTTCTCATAGGACAATCTTTTTTAAAGTGTCCTTGCATGAGGAGTGCCTCTGCCCGGCTGCTGCCCCATCTGGGAAGTGAGGAGCACCTCTGCCCAGCTGCCACCCCATCTGGGATGTGAGGAGCGCCTCTGCCCGGCTGCCCAACCATCTGGGAAGTGTGGAGCGCCTCTGCCCAGCTGCCCACTGTCTGGGATGTGAGGAGTGCCTCTGCCCAGCTGCCGCCCCATCTGGCAAGTGAGGAGTGCCTTTGCCGGCCTGCCAACCGCCTGTGAAGTGAGGAGCACCTCTGCCTGGCCGCCAACCATGTGGGAAGTGATGAGGGCCTCTGCCCAGCTGCTGCCCCATCTGGCATGTGAGGAGCACCTCGGACTGACTGCCCACCATCCAGGAAGTGAGAAGTGCCTCTGCCCAGCTGCCCACTGTCTGGGAACTGAGGAGCACCTCTGCCCGGCCGCTGCCCTGTCTAGTAAGTGAAGAGTGTCTCTGCCTGGCCGCCACCCCATCTGGGAAGTGAGGAGCGTCTCTGCCCTGCCGCCCAACTGACTGGTAAGTGAGGAGTGCCTCTGCCCGGCCGCCAACCATCTGGGAAGTAAGGAGCACCTCTGCCTGGCTGCCGCCCAGTCTGGGAAGTGAGGAGCGCCTCTGTCTGGCCGCTGCCTCATCTGGGAAGTGAGGAGCACCTCTGCCCGGCCACCAACTGTCTGGGAAGTGAGGAGCGCCTCTGCCCAGCCACCAACTGTCTGGGAAGTGAGGAGCGCCTCTGCCTGGCCACCAACCATCTGGGATGTGAGGAATGCCCTCTGCCCGGCCACCAACTGTCTGAGAAGGGAGGAGTGCCTCTGCCCGGCCGCCCCACCGTCTGGGAAGTGAGAAGTGTCTCTGCCTGGTCGCTGCCCCATCTGGGAAGTGAGGAGCACCTCTGCCCAGCCACTGTGCAACCTTCCAAGTGTTAAGTGACAGCCTTGTGTGTGATCTTTTCTGTCTTCCCCAAGTTTGCATTTTCGACATTAAAGTTTACTTTTTAATTAAAAGTTTAAAAAAAAAATAAAGTGTCCTTGCAAACCACACTGATAACAAGCCCTACCCGGTGATTGGCCTGCTCCATTTTCTGTCCTCTCTGAACCACTGAGGTTTGTTTGTCTGAGGGCCATGACTAAGGCTGCAGCCTTCCTCTGATCTCGCTTTTCCTTTTCGGCCTGTTCCCCTGGTCCCTATTATAGAACGCTGAGGTTGCCAGGTTTAATAATGCCTCCAGATTTTGTTCAGGACCCAGGGCTCACTTTTGGAGCTTTCTCCTGATATATGCAGCTGATTGGGTAATAAACTTATCTTTTAGGACCAATTGACCCTTGAGTGAGTCAGGTGACAGGGGAGTATATTTTCTTAAGGCCTCCCGTAGCCGCTCGAGGAAGGCAGAAGGATTTTCTTCCTTTCCCTGAGTTACGGTGGACATCATTTAATAATTCACGGACTTTTTCCTAATTCTTAGTCCTTCTAGAACACAGGTCAACAGATGTTTTTGACTCCAGTCCCCATGATCTGAGTTGAGGTCCCAGTGGGGCTCCATACTGGGGATGGCTTGCTGACTGGTAGGGAATTTGTCCCTTTCTTTGGCTGTCATTCTATCATTTACTTGACTAAGATACCAGGTATCTCCAAACTCTCAGGCTGCAGCTAAAGCTGCATTCTTTTAACTAAAGGCCAGGTTTTGATCTAACAGTAGCATGACTTCTCTCCAAGTGAGGTCAAAGGTTTGCCCTAGATCCTGTAGGACATCTGTGTACCTATCAGGATCATCTGAAAACTTCCATGGGTCTGCTTTGATCTGCTTTATATCAGAGAGGGAGAAGGGGACGTGTACCCGGGTTGGGCCAAATTCCCCTTCCCCTACAGCTTGAAGGGAACATAACCGATAGCCCGGGGGTTTTTGTGGTCCTTTGGAGATTTCCTTGCTTGTTTCCTTCTGGCCAGGGGAGATTAGAGGAGGCTTATCATTAATAGGAAGGGGAGCAATAGGGAGGCTAGGATATGGGGATAAGCTGAGAGGTCGTCTAGTGGGATGTAAATTGCAAGCTTTGCATAGTTGTGGATTCTCCTTCAATGAAAGGAAAGCTTGGACATAAGGTATTTCACTCCATTTACCTTCCCTCTTACAGAAAAGATCAAGCTGCAGGATAGTATTGTAATTTATACTTCCCTCAGGTGACCATTTTTCTCCATCAGAGAGAGAATACTGGGGCCAGGCCATAGTGCAGAAAAAAATGTGTTGCCTCTTTTTCAGGGTTTGCGGGTCAAATTGGTCCCAATAGCTTAGGATGCATTTCAAGGGTAAGCCGGTTGATACCTGAGTGTTTCCCACCTGAAAGACAAAACCGTCCGCAGTTTTGGTTTGTTTGTTTCCCCACACCCCCCCTACCCAAGAACCCGCGACAGTCCCTAGACCCTGCTGATCAGAATAGTTGCACTCACCTACGCAGCAGCAGAAACACTAGTTTTCCTCCTAGACCACAAGGAGGACTGAGGAAGGTTGGATTTAGTGGCCCTTACTAACACATTCTCAAAAACCTGCACCCTTGCCTGTCCTCTTAGACCACAAAGAGGACTGAGGAAGGTCAGATTTAGTGGCCCTTACTGACACATTCTCGAAAACCTGTTGGAGTCCTAAGCATTCTCCTGTTAGTATTGGGACTTTACCCCTGTCCTGTAAAGATGTTATGCCCCAAAAATGAAGTGGAGGGCCATACCCCGAGGGAGGGAAGTGATCTCCAGGGTTGGAGGAGTGATGCCTTTTGTCCTCACCTGAATAGGAAGGATATCATTTCTGAAGCTCCCCATATCCTAGCTTCAGGAATAGCTTTTGTTAGGCCTGCTAGTCTGAGGAGGGATCCTAACATTTCAGAGAAGATAGTCTGCCCCTCCCCCACCACGATGGGGCTTTGGGCAAAAAATATGTCTTTCTGATTGATGAGCCCGGGTGCCTAAAGAAGGGAATGGAGTCCTGGAGTTTATACTAGAAATTATTCTTATAGGAGAAACTGGAAAAGCACCAGAGACAGGGAGTGGTTTTTATTCTTTTTTTTTTTTTTTTTTTTTTTTTTTTTGTGAGATGGAGTCTTGCTGTGTCACCCAGGCTAGAGTGCAGTGGCACAATCTCGGCCTCCCCAGTTCATGCCATTCTCCTGTCTCAGCCTCCCAAGTAGCTGGCACTACAGGGGCCCACCACCACGCCCGGCTAATTTTTTGTATTTTTAGTAGAGACAAGGTTTCACTGTGTTAGCCAGGATGGTCTCGATCTCCTGACCTCATGATCCACCCACCTTGGCCTCTCAAAGTGCTGGGATTACAGGCATGAGCCAACGCACCCGGCCAGGAGTGGCTTTTAGAAGTGGAACTAGCCTCGGAGAAGAGAGGCGAGAAGAAGTTTGTCTGACAGGCGTTAGGACCCAGGAGGCAAGGGTCAGGATAGATAGGATAGAAGGGCAAGTCTCACTTGGGCGATGTGACTTTGAGAGTTCCACTCATGGCCACAAGGTCAACCAACTTGTTGTTGGGACCCCGAAGCTGAATGGCTTTCCTCTCTGGTGACCCTCGGCTCAGCCCAGAAGTACAGGAGATGTGGAACCTGGTTCCAGGCAAACCAACGCTTCCAACTCCAAAGAGTTGGGGGTTGTTAGAGAGCCCTTTCCCAGAAAGCCTGACACTCATGTCTTTAGTCTGGCAGCTGCACTAGTCACTTTCAACTGGCTGACAGGTGCCCAGTATTTAGCCCCCAAATTCTAAGGAAAAGTAGGACAGAATAGCAAGTGAAAGGGATCCGATGGTACTCCCCACTTGGCGATAGCTGATTGCCCCATCTGGGTCACCAAAGTGTGTCCAGAATTGGTTCCTTCCAGTGGGTTCTTGGTCTCGCTGACTGCAAGAATGAAGCCGCGGACCTTCGTGGTGAGTGTTACAGCTCTTAAAGGTGGTGGGTCTGGAGTCTGTTCCTTCAGATGTGTCCTGAGTTTCTTCCTTCTGCTGGGTTCATGGTCTTGCTGACTTCAAGAATGAAGCTGCAGACCTTCACGGCAAGTGTTACAGCTCTTAAAGGTGGTGTGGACCCAAAGAGTGAGCAGCAGCAAGATTTATTGTGAAGAGCTTAAGAACAAAGCTTCCTCAATGTGAAAGGGGACCTGAGCGTGTTGCAGTTGCTGGCTGGGGTGGCCAGCTTTTATTCCCTTATTTGTCCCTGCCCACGTCCTGCTGATTGATCCATTTTACAGAGCGTTGATTGGTCCGTTTTACAGAGTGCTGTTTGGTCCATTTTGCAGAATGCTGATTGGTGTATTTACAATCCTTTAGCTAGACACAGAGTGCTGATTTGGTGCGTTTTTACAGAGTGCTGATTGGTGCGTTTACAATCCTTTAGCGAGACCCAGAGCGCTGATTGGTGCATTTTTACAGAGTGTTGATTGGTGCATTTACAATCCTTTAGCTAGACACAGAGCACTGATTGGTGCGTTTACAATCTTCTAGCTAGACAGAAAAGTTCTTCAAGTCCCCACTCGACCCAGGAAGTCCAGCTGGCTTCATCTCTCAATCTTATAAAATGCTAGAGTAAAAATTGAAAAATAAAGCAAAATACCAAAATTTAATATCAAAAGTAAAAGCTAGGTGACCTCAGTTTATGAAATTTAAAAGGTTGGAAATTTTAAATTTGCACTTCTGTAGTTTTATAAGATACGTACATAGTAATTAAATTTTCAAAAGCACTAAACATAGCAGGAAGTATTTTAAGATCATCATTATCATCATTTAATTTTATGCTCCCCAGATTCCTCATATGAAAGTTTTGGGGAAATGCTTAGCAGCTTTATTTAAAGAAAAGATTTAATTTCTAATGGATATAAGATATTTATTTTTCAGTAATTGAAATAATTGTTCATTTGCTTTTCTGAGTCAATTTACTGCCTGTGGTGTGCTTTGCCGTCATCAGAGCCACTGGCCTGTCATGAAGCTCTGTGATGTCTGGTCATCAGAATTCCAGCTGAGTTTGAATGAGAACAGTGAAAGCAGGCAGGTCATCTGTCAGTCTCAAAGACAACGTTTTGAACATCTTTAGTTTGCATTTTTTTTTCAACTGGGAAAAGAGACAGCTCTTTCAGAAAAGGAAAGCTCATTTTTATTTGAGAAAATTGTTTATATTAACTAGTTGAAAGATGATCTAGAAAAAAGGAAATAAGAATGATAGCTAAAACTGTCATGCTTATATTAACAACTTTTATGATATTTGAACAAAAAGTCAAAATTACTCAGTGGCTTATAACACAGGCTGAGGAAATGATGCTATAAATATAGTATAAAGAAAATGTGAATGTGTTAAACTTGCCTAAGATCTTGAATTCAGTGTGTAAACATTTAGGCTGTGCCCCTGACCATTTTGATTCTGCCTTAGCTACTCTGTGTTCATATGGGCAATGTGGACACATGTCAATGTAATGGAGAAAAGGGAAAAAAAGGAAACTTGAGATAGATTAACTGAATACTTTTTCAAAGAAGAAGTGATGGCTTGGTTGTGGAGAAGGCAGAAATTATAGGTTAAATTAGTATTCTTTAACAAACTACCAATAAATTTAATTTAGCCATGCTGACCTCCTGTCCATCATCAACTGGGTTAAACAAGACTGATCAACACCGAGTGCTTATGTCACAAAATGAAGCAATAGTCAATATTGTCTCAAGCCAAGGAACTTTCTGAAATGCATTCGATTTAAATAAATAACCCGATTACGAGCCTGAGGAAGTTTATGAATGATGCAACAGGAAATGGAGCCAAATCTTTTAGAGATGATATTTGAGTGCCTTCAAACAAACACCCAGATTTTCAGACACTTGACCCGAATTTCATCAGTCTTATTCCAGTCTATTCCAGCTGCAATGGATCCAGGATAGCAATGGCGGGGGGGATCTGTAGTTTCCAAATAATGTACAGGGCAAAAAACAGAGCTGGCTCCAGGTTTGATTAGAGATTTTTAAGAGGTGCTCTTTTCTGCTTCTATTTGTGTTTTTACTAGAAAGTATTATTATAAAAATACTTCTGTGAAAAAAGTGTGGATAGAAGAATGATGTCACTGAGAACTCTGCCAGTGGCAGAAATTTCAACTAAAAATTGGGGTATAACCAGATTTCCTGTGGCTAACTAACAAGGGCTATCCTAGGGTTTTCTCCGACAGATGGAGAAGTAATAAGGTACTTGCAAATGATAAAAATGGGTAGTGGGTTGAAAAAAAGCATTGAAATTACATTACTCTGACACAGTACCTGAACTGTAGTCAAATTCACACATTCACAGATCTCAGAACTGGACAAAATCCTAGAGTGGGGCATTTACTCTGGGCTCTAGATGGTATTTTTATCCCCATTTCACAGATGCGTTCCAAGATTTTCCTGAGATTACATGTAATTATTAACTTTATAATTAAATAGCTATTGTAGTATAAGCACAAAAAAAACAAACAAAAAACATACAACAACAACAAAAAACCTCAGCCACTGTATATTCTGTCCAGAAGGCAAATTACCATTATGGGAAGAATCATGCAAAAAGAAGTAAGGAAAATTTCCATTATCTGTTCTGCTAATGGGAAGGAGCTCAGTGACAAGATGGTGGATAGTCTATGCTGTGCCTCTAAAATTTCAAATGCAATTCATGGCATCTCATGTGAGACACACACTCCTGGTCTGCTACATGAAGAATAAACTAATGATTTTCATCTGGTGGTCACTGTAAAATTAATAGTCCTCAGAAATAGTGGCCTAAATGGATGAGATTAGTTGTAACCATTATAACAATAAAAAAAAAAAAAGAAATTGGAGTAAAATTCATTCCCAGTACCACCACTATTTTATGTTCTTAAAACTTACATTAAGTGATAATGTTTTAAAAAGCATATGCCCATAAATAATTTTGTTTTAAGAAAAAGGAGGGTGTGGTGGCTCATACCTGTAATTCCAGCACTTTGGGAGGCTGAGGTGGGCAGATTGCTTGAGCCCAGGAGTTGGAGACTAGCCTGGGTAACATGGCCAAGCCCCATCTCTACAAGAAAATACAAAAATTAGTTCAGGCATGATGGTGCCTGTCTGTAGTTCCAGCTACCTGGGAGGCTGCGGTGGGAGTATTGCTTGAGCCTGGGACGTCGAGTCACAGTGGCAGGCACATTGTGGCAGTGAGCCACAATAGTGCCACTGTACTCCACCTGGGTGAAACAGCAAGATCTTGTCTCAATTTTTTTTTCAAAAAGGGGCCCAGGACGGGGGACAGCCTTGTTTTTCTAATATGGTAAGGCCCATGTTCTTTGATATTGCTTCTTGTAGTATAGGATATGGAAACTAGAGAAACTACATTAGAGAACTTATTCAAAAAATATCTTCCTTTGCTGACAATATATGGCTTAATTTACGTGTTTATTGAATGTTCTGTCTTAATTTCACTGGATGAATTTGCTAGGGCTGCTACAGCAAGATACCACTGACTGGATGGCTGAAACAGCAGACATGCATTTTCTCACAGTTCTGGAGGCTAGATATCTGAGATCAAGATGCTGGCAGGGTTGGTTCCTTCTGAGGGCCATCGGGAAGGAGCTGTTCCTGGCCTCTCTCTCTCTTTGGCTGGTAGATGGCCATCTTTTTCCTGTGTCTTCAGAACATTTTCTCTCTGTATGTGTTTGTGTGCAGGTTTCCTCTACTTATAAGGACACCAGTCAGGTCAGTTTAGGGCCCACTCTAAAGACCTCATTTTAACTGAATTACCTCTATAAGGTCCTTATCTCCAAATATGGTCACATTCTGAGGTTATCAAGGTTAGAACTTCAACATATTAATTTGAGGGGGACAAAATTCAGCCCATAACAATCTCTTAATTGCATTGTGTGTGACTCCTGATGTCAATATTCAGAAAGTTGCTGATATACATCATGGGAGGAGGAAAGAGCAAGGACACTTATATGTAGCAGGCTTCTCCTGTGCCTGGAACATTGGGCTAGGTAGTTCAGAGATTTTATTTCCATTCATAGCCACTTGCTGTGTACTTACCCTATGCCAGGTTCTTTACATACATTCCCATTAAGCCTCACAACAAAGCAACAAGCCAGGCATGAGCCCCATTCAACAGAAGACAGAACTGAAATGCAAAGGTGAAAATTCTTTTCAAAGCTGGCATTCACACCCCGACCTATCATACTAAGACTCCTTTGTTCACTTTCCACAACATCAGAGAGACACCTACCTACTCCGACCTTGTCAGGCAGTCCATGGCCATTCTATCTTGTATGATCTAATTTCAGGAATACTTTTCCTATGATGAGTGGAAAAACTGAGGCATGGAGAGAATCAAACTCTGCCTGGCCCCATCTGTCTCCTCTACTTTAGTGATCCAGTGTCTGAATCAAGTAATCAGTTGTAAGCTGTGATTCTACTAGTCAGGTATTATAGAAGGGACCACCGTTGATGGGAATAATATGGGCCATTTTCTCTATAAAATATAAAACTCTTCTATGACTACTTCCAAGAGGAGAAAAGTGGCTGATGAAAAAAGCAAACAAACAAAAAAACCTTGCCTTTCAAAGTAGCTGGGCTGAGGAGTATGGATATTACAGACTTGGGTGTTTATCTCATATTTGCAATGGAAAATCCTCTTTAAGAGCAACCTTGAGACAATTCAATAGTTCACAAAATCAGTCAAGGAAAGCTAAAATCAACCATCCCCAGGAGAGCCAAATTCAACAAAAACTTCCCTCAAAGGCTCACTCACTCTTACCAGCAGAAGGTGTGATGTGTGGAGCTAATCTAAAAGCAAATTCACGGTGGGTAAAATAATAAAAGAATGCTTATATGAAGCAAAAGATATTGCTTTTCTTGATCAAAAAACCAAAACAAAGCAAGATATCACTTCTCATTATGCCCTGTTCTTGCAGAGTAGTAATGACTCAATGATTATCTTGAGAAGCCCAGTATCATAAAGATACTCAAGGGTGCGCAAAATGCCTCTGAGTTCTTTGCTTCTTCCAACATGAGTTTCCAGTTCCCTTATGCTGCTCAGGGTCCCAAACTGCCCTCTCCCAATGAAACCCTCCATCCACATCCTTCATGTTTAGGGAGTTCACTTAATTTGTCCATTCACTTGTGGCTCAACTAAACCAACCTCTTAAACTAGTTAGAAAGATATGATCCCTTCCAGACACATATTTACATTTTAACCAGAAATTTCATTGTCTTCTGATAGTACTTTTAGGCCCCAAGGATGACTTTTATGGGAGAGATACTTGGTCTGGGGAATCTTTTCTCTTTTCAAATTGTATGTATTTTCCTAAGATCACATGTATTATTCATTGTTTATCTATCTATCTATCTATCTATCTATCTATCTATCTATCTATCTATCTATTCTCTATCTGTAAAATCGCCTTTGACTTCCATTCATACTCACAAAATATAAAAGCCTGAAAACCTCCAGATTGCCTGAGAAATCATTTGGTTTTCTCATTTTCTTCTCATAATCCTTCTGTGTACAGAAAGAATATCAGTTTGTGATATATCTTCTTACATTTTTGGTGTGGTAGGAGGATGGCAGCTTCTTTTTTTATCTTTTCCAAGCACATATATTTTTACATAATCAATATATGTTGTATCTAGTTTTATTACCCTTAAATATTCATTAATTCCTATGTACTTATCTGCAAAATATAGAATTGCATGTTTTTCTACTTGACTCAATAACCAGTGTTTATCTTGTTATTATGCTTAGAATCTTTCAAATACATCTTGTAACAATTGAGAAACAGAGAGATAAATTTTTAGATTAGTTTTCCTGACGTTCACCCGTAGAATTACACACTAAAGGTTGAATGTTTTTTCTTTTTTAATAAAAGCACTTATTAAACACCTCCTTTGAGTCATTAAGGCTAAAATAGTATCATTAATATTATATTACTACTACTTCATTAAGAATTAAGAAGATTTTTGTGAGTTTCATGAAAAACTAGCCAATTTTTTTAGGAGAACATGTTCTATGGAAAATAGACTCCTAGCTCAAATCTCTAACTTATAAAATTATCAAAACAACAGCAATGACAACAATGGCTTCTCTGGTCAGCTTGTGTTTTCACTGCTTCCGGAAACTTTCAGTGCCTCTCCTCCACTCCACTCTCACCACATAACTCACTTCACAGAGAAGATGCAAGACAGTAGAAAGAACCTGCCTCCCACCAGAATAACAGACCTAAATTCAGTGACACCCATCAGCTCCTCTTTCCCTACTGCTGTACAGAGGAGCTGTTCCTCTTCCAATCTAGGGTAAATCTGCCCATCTGGGCTCTAAGTTGGATACCCTTCTGCCTTTCAGGCAATTCACACCCTAATTATTTTTTCTGTGCTTTAATCTCAACATTTCCCCCAATACTTGATTCTACCTATTGGCATTTAAGAATATTCAAGAATATCCCATCTTAAAAGCAAACACAAAAGAAAATAAAAGGCAATCTGGAGATTTTTAGGCCTTTGTATTTTTTTGAGTATAAATGGAGGTTAAAGATGATTTTACAGATAGAGGATAGACAGATAGATAGATAGACAGATTATACCTAGATAGTTCATTGAACAATACATGTAATCTTAGGAAAATGTATGTGATTTGAAGAGAGGAAAGATTCCCAGACCAAGTATCTCTCCCATAGAAGCCATCCTTGGGTACTAACACTACTATTGTGTGCAGAGTTGGTTCCTTCTGGTGGGTTCTTGGTCTCGCTGACTTCAAGAATGAAGCCACAGACCTTCACAGCAGGTGTTACAGCCCTTAAAGGTGGTGTAGACCCAAAGAGTGAGCAGCAGCAAGATTTACTGTGAAGAGTGAAAGAACACAGCTTCCACGTATGGAAGGGGACCCGAGTGGGTTGCAGCTGCTGGCTGCAGTGGCCAGCTTTTATTCCCTTATTTGTCCCCTTCCACATCCTGCTGATTGGTCCATTTTATAGAGTGCTGACTGGTGCATTTACAATCCTTTAGCTAGACACAGAGTGCTGATTGGAGCATTTTTACACAGTGCTGGTTGGTGCATTTACAGTCTTTTAGCTAGACACAGAGTGCTGATTGGTGCGTTTACAATCCTTTAGCTAGACACAGAGCGCTGATTGGTGCATTTTTACAGAGTGCTGATTGGTGCTTTTACAATCCTCTTGTAAGACAGAAAAGTTCTCCAAGTCCCCACCCAACCCAGAAGTCCAGCTGGCTTCACCTCTCACTATCATAAGACAATGAGTTTCTGGTTAAAATGTAAGTATGTGCCTGGAAGGGGTCATATCTTTCTACTAGTTTAAGAGATTGGTTTAGTTGGGCCAAGAGTGGATGGATAAATGAAGTGAATTCCCTCAACATCAAGGATGTAGATGGAGGGTTTTACTGGGAGAGGGCCGTTTAGGGGATGAGACCCTGAGCAGCATAAGGGTTATCTACGTATCTCTTCATTTTCCCATTCACACCTATTCCTTCCAGAGCTATTGCTCATCTCTGCCCCTTCAGGAGGAATTTTCAGAGGGAATTATCTTTACTCATTGTCTTTTTTTTTTTTTTTTTTACTTTCCATTGACTCCATAGTCCATTCCAATCTGACCTGTAATCCTGTTCCTCCATCACTCCACTAAACAACTCTTGCTACAGTAAAATCTCAGTAACCATCACATCCCTAAGGCCAATTGCATTCCAGTCCTCATTAAAGCGGAAGTCTCAGTGGTATTCAACTCTTGTCAGTATATCGTTTTAGAAATACCCCTTCTTTTTGGCCTTTATGACAATACACTCTCCTGGTTTTCCTCCTACCTCTGCAGTTGCTCATTCTCAAGGTCTTCAGTTGTCCCATCCTGACAATTCACTCTTTTAAGATTCCTCAACATTCTTTCCTTGGCCTCCTTTTCCAATTCCCTTAGCAGTTTCATTCATTCCTCCCCTTTCAATTATTATCACCTACATATCAATGACTCACAAACATAATCTCCAATCCAAACAACTCCTCTCTATTCCTAACTCATTTGATTGTCTCGAAGAGACTAGAAATTGATCCTAGCCCAATTCGAACTCAAGATCTTCCTTCCAAACTAGGTTTCTTCTAAGTCTTCCTGGCCTATATGAATGAAGTCTGAATCTTAAGGGAGATTTTTGACAACATTCTCTCCTTCACTGCCATATTCATCTCACCATCTGTTCTGTTAATTATACTTTCTAAATGCATCTGGAATGCATCTTTTTCCAATAAATATGGAATTTTCTACAGTTAACAGCAATCAAATTTCATTTGAAATATGGCTATAGTGTTTTGTAGTACAGCTTTTATGTTCGTACTGAAGATAAAATGGAGAAGTAGGACTTTTCCATAAGACAGTCTCTAGCTAGCATTTTACCTTGGTTTTTAACAGCACTTTAACTTTTATTATCATTCATTTATCAAGCACAATCATGTATCATTCATGTATTAAATGGCTAGTTTAATTCCAAATGAACATTTACTAGATGCCTTCAGATTTTCAGAATCTATACCACCTCATTATTTTATTAGGAAACCTTTAAAAATGCTAAAATTTTCTTAACTGCAAATATCAACACAGATTTGGAACTTGATAAGGGTTATGGCTGTGTACCATTGTGAATTACTAAGTGGCAACACATAACAAAAAATTATATTAAAGAGTGGTACCCTTTAAAATTATTTATTTTGTGTTATGTGAATTTTACCTCAATAAAAACAAGTATCAGCACAAAGGCAGAAAATTTCTGAGAGGCTGATTTTTCTCCTCTATAAAGGACCTTACATAACTCCACTGGGATAATTGTCTATCCAAGCCACAGAAATCAATTTGAATCTGCAGTTCTGGGAAAGATTAGGTCAGGCTTTAAATAAAGAGGTGTAGGCAAGGTAAATTGTCACTGAATTCTTAAATACCACTCAGAGTTCAAGACTGTACTTCTTTTGAATTACTTCCACTCTTTCACTGTGAACAATTATATGGGCTGGTTCCTAAGAACCATTGTAAAGGCCAATCTAGCATCTTTTTTTTTTTTTTTTTTTTTTTTTTTTTTGAGATGGAGTCTCGCCCTGTCGCCCAGGCTGGAGTGCAGTGGCGCGATCTCAGCTCACTGCAACCTCCGCTTCCCAGGTTCAAATGATTCTCCTGCCTCAACCTCCCGAGTAGCTGGGATTACTGGTGCCCACCACCATGCCCAGCTAATTTTTTTCTATTTTTAGTAGAGACAGGGTTTCACCATGTTGACCAGGCTGGTCTCAAACTCCTGACATCAAGCGATCCACCCACCTTAGCCTCCTAAGGTACTGGGATTACAGGCGTGAGCCACTGAGCCCGGCCCCTTCATTCTTAAAGGTCCCTAAAGAGGGAGTTTTTAAAATCTTTAGTAGCATATTCTGGTGTCTCACCCCAACCCTCAAAATTTGTGAGGCTTAGTTAAATCTCTCCTTCATTTTTAAGAATCTATTTCTTCTGTGTTGAATTCTCAGTAGGAATAGGTAAAAATATCATCAGCCTAGTCATCAGATGACCTAAGTTCAAGTTCTCGGTTCAAATTCTGACATTTTTATCATCAGGTTGCTAACCTTAAACCTCAGTTTCCTCTTAATAAAATGGAAGTGATAATGTCTGTTTCATAGGGTTCTTTCAATTCCTAAATTAGAAAATGTATATGATATCATATAGTTATTTTTAAATGTAATTTATTACCTCAGTAAGACATAATTCTCTGCCCTATTCTAATTTTATTTCATGTGGATAATTCATAGATAATTTTAAATCTATGTCAGTTTTTTACTACAAAAGGCAGCATATGGTTAAATTTCAAATTAATGATATATTACACTACCCTAGTCCCACTGAAAATATTAAATAACACCAGATTCTAAGTCAATCTAGAAAACTATCCTGTCCTCTGGATCCCTTTACTTCATTGGTATCTATTGTTCATTTGTTATGAGAGAGAAAGTTTATTGTTTCTTCCATCAGAGCTTATGATCCTGCTTACAGCACAAAACATGTATACAAATGAATAAAATAAAAAGCAGGAGGAAACAAGCACCAGAAAAATAAACTTCATACAAACTTAGAACATTATACCGGGTGAACAACAAGAATGATTTTGTAGTTCAGCCCTCAATAAGCCATCATTAGACATTAGGTAAATATATTAATAAAAAAGCAATTTTTATAAAATCAAGACAAAAAAGGGAGTTTTATAAAAATCACACTGTAGAATCATAAAAATTCAGCAGTGGAAAGAATCTTTGCTATCTCCTAGCTCATCTGCCTTTGACATGGGATAATATTGCCCCACTGTACCCCAGGAGCATTTGGTAACACGAGAAGAGTGTTTTTTGGTTGTCATGACTAGAGGTGGCAGAGCATGAGTGGGTGGGACCTAGAAATACCAAACATACTGCAATACAAGGGACACGCCCATTCAACAAATAATTATCCTGCCCCCATCCTACGCGCCAACCTCTCAACCTCCCCCTGCCCCATAGACAGAAGGAAAAACTGATGTTCACATATGATACGAGATTTTTCCATGATGTTCTGGGCTTAGCATTAGTCTATATTTCAGACAGTGCTATTAAACAGCAACATCATGTGAGGCGTAAATGCAAGCCACCTGTAATATTAAATTTGCTGTCACATTAAAATATTTAAAAACTAGTGAAATTAATTTTGATAGTATATTTTCTTTAACCCTGTCTACATAAACCTTTATCATTTCAATATGTAATCAATATAAAATTATTAATGAGATATTTTTTGTGCTAAGTTTTCAAAATCTGTTATATATTTATACTTAACAGTACATCTCAATTCAGACTAGCCACAGTGCAGGTGCCCAGTAGCCACATGTGCCTAGGTGTGGCCCCCATATTGCAGCTCTAGGAGATCCTGTGTGTCTTTCTCACAAATTAGTGTCATAAGCACCCGAGTGCAGGACTTCAGCTGACTCCGTCTACTGTTCCTGTCACTGTGTCATAGAGACAGGAGATTGGTCTGATAGACTGTTTTACAGAAAGCCAAATCCATGTTCATCATTATTTTGTCTCCTCTGATCTTTTAAGGAGTTGCAAATTGCAAATAATCGCTTGAGATTATTTTGTGTTCTCTGATCTTTAAGGAGTTGCGAATTGATTTCTGGATGAGTCACTTGAGTATTTTTTTTAGGTCTGAAGCTAAATGGCCCATTTGATAATTCCAGGCTGGACATATTCTTTTTCTGAAAAATATGCAATATCTTTACCATTTGCCCTAATTGCTTTCATTATTTATGTAGGATAGTACCTGAGCACAAGTTTCTAGCCCTTCTTGTTAGAATTATACAGCTTAGTTCTTTATTTATTATTTATTTATTTATTTATTTATTTATTTATTTATTTATTTATTTATTTTGAGACGGAGTCTCGCTCTGTCGCCCAGGCTGGAGTGCAGTGGCGCAATCTCGGCTCACTGTAAGCTCCGCCTCCCGGGTTCACGCCATTCTCCTGCCTCAGCCTTCCAAGTAGCTGGGACTACAGGCGCCCGCCACCACAACCGGCTAATTTTTTGTATTTTTAGTAGAGACGGGGTTTCACCGTGTTAGCCAGGATGGTCTCGATCTCCTGGCCTCGTGATCCGCCCACCTCGGCCTCCCAAAGTGCTGGGATTACAGGTGTGAGCCACTGCGCCCGGCCCGGCTTAGTTCTTATAACTGTTCTTGGTAGTAGTATTTGCGTAATTTTTCTTGCTGAAACTTCCATAAACATTCCTGTATTTCCTCCAGCTAATAAAGTATTTATGTCTTAACCCTTTTTTTTACAATATCAATTTTATGTGTTACTAAGCTCCTTCTGGCATTCTTTCTTGCTGTATTGAATGTAACTATTTTGTCAATTTTTCTTCATTTCTCTAGAGCTCAGTTATTAAATAACGTTTTGCTTGGAGTATTATATAATTATTTTTCATAAATCTTTTTATTTCTGCTTGACTTTCAATTGAAATAACCCTGAAGTAAGAAGCGTATATATATATAATTTTTTATTTGGATTTCAGATACAAACCTTTTAATTTTTAAGTCTTTAAACACAGCAAACCATAGATTTTAAAGTATATTGAGCCTGTACATGTCAGGTTTAGATCATGAGAAAGAGGCAATCATGTCATCTTGTCTGAAAAGATTTAAGGGAATGATTTATTCATAATTTAGCTGGGATTTGATACCTTTGTGCCCTAAAAAGAGAATAAAATAAATGGTCTTTTCTAGTCTACATATATTTTTGTGGGTCTATTTTTCCTCCACCAAAATAGAGAGTTGTGTAATCTGGACAATGGATCTGTATGTCTGCTTTTGTCTATACTTTCTGGCTGAATTTTCTGTAAAGTCCAGATTATAAATATTTTATGCTTTACCAACTTAATGGTTTCTGTCAGAACTACTCAACTCTGCTTCCCATTGTAGCATGAAAGCAGCAGTAGCCAATATGTAAACTACTGGGACTGATTGTGTTCCAATCAGCCAGTTTCATTTCGTAAAACTACATTTACGAAAACAGGCTGTGGGCTGGACTTGGCACATGGACCATAATTTGCTGGCCCTTGTTCTGGCTATTTCAGAATCACTACCTTCACTATGACTGTATAGACTGCTCATCCCATCTCCCATCCTCATGCTGGCCTCATGATGTTGAGTTGTTATAATGACTTTAAATTCAAAAAAGACAGATTTAGGGATTACTAATTATTGTATCACTATGAAACTATATTTTTCTTCTAGTTCACCCACTAAGTATATTATAAAAAATATTTATGCTTCTGCTTTTAAAACACAATTTCCCAATTTTTCCACTGTTGTTTTCTTTTAGTATTTTAGTGAGGTCCATAAAACCTCACCTTTAGCTTCGGGTCTATCACCACCCAGCTTTTCTGCCCTTAATTTTCATTTATTTCTCATTTTATGTTCATTTGCTGTAGAGTGAACACTCTGCTAAATTTTCCAACTTTTACCCTACAGTGTAAAAGCAGCCTTTTTTTAAAAGTTTTTAAGATGAACTTAGGGATAATTTGATAATTTGGGGATAATTTGATAATTTGGGGATAATTTTAGATTTACAGAAAAGTTTAAAGATAGTACAGAGGGTTTCTGCACACTTTCACCCAGTTCCCACCATTGTTAGCATCTTAATATACCATGGTACATGAATACTAGCTGAACTCAAGGCTTTATTTGAATTTCACCAGTTTTTCCATTAATCTCCTTTTTCTGTTCCAGGATCAAATCCCAGCTACCACACTGCATTTAGTCATCAAATCACCCTAGTTTTCTCTGGTCTCTGATATTTCCTCAGTCTTTTCTTGTTTTTTTGTTTGTTTGATTGTTTGTTTTTTGTTTTTTTTTTTTCATGACCCTGACAGTTTTGAAGAGTCTGGTCAGGTACCCTGTAAAAATTTTCCCAGTCTGAGGTTTATCTGATGTTTTCCCCTCATAATTAGGCTCAAATTAGGGGTGTTTTGAAAGACTACCCTAGAGGTGATGTGTCCTTCTTATCATATCATATCAGGGGTTTTTGATAGGTAGCCACATGCCATTACTGGAGATGTTAACCTTCATCACTTAGTTCCGGTAGTGCTTGCTTAATTTCTCCCCTATAAAGTTACTATTTTTCCTTCTTCATATTTTATGCTTTAGAAGCAGAGCACTAAGTCTACCCAACCTTCAAGGAGAAGGGGGAAAGGGAACTCAGCCGCATCTCCCGGAAAGGGGAACAGCCACATTTATTATTTGAAATTCTCCTGTATGGAAGATTTGCCCATTATTCCTCACTTATCTCTTTATTCAAACATTTATTTATTTATATCAGTACAAACTCATGGATAATTATATCATACTTTGTGTAATAATCCAAATACTACGTTATTTATTTTATTGTTCAATTTGTTCCAGCTTTGGCTGGTGGGAGCTCTTTCAGGTTGGCTCCTATATTCCTTTGATATACCCGTATCCTTTTTTTGAGCACTATCTTACTCTCTGCCACTACAAGATGCTGTACGCTCACCTTGTATTTTTCCTTCCCCAGTGCTAGAATCAGCCATTTCTCCAAGGACTCTGGCTCCTCTTGTTGGAGAATGATATTAGAAACCAAGATTTGTGCCCTGAGTGTTCTAATTGCTAGCAAGGTGTCATTGACTCTAGGCCCTCTCAGTTAACATAGCTAAGAAATGCATGATTTGTGTGAACTAACCAATATATATACACATATCTATAAATATTTATATATCTATCCATCTGTATCTACATTAAACTAAACATGAGTTTGTACTAATACACTGCCACAGGGCTCACTGAGTCACATTTTTAAAAGATCGCTCCAAAAATATTTTATAAAACAACAGCAACAAAAAGGGATAACTAACTGTTCCAAGAGTGGAGGCAGTGAGACCAGTTTAGGCTGTTGTCATCTAGGCAAGAGATGATATAGGTTTGAATTAGGATGGTAACAAACAACAAGGAGGAGATGGAGCTGATTCCAGACAGACTTTGAAGATACAGCTGGTAGGATTTGATGGTAGTTTGGATATGAAGTAGGGGTAGGAGAATGAGGGGAAATAGAAGGATGAAGGACAACTCATGGATTGGAGGTCTGAAGGAAATGTGTGCACTGTGATGCCATTTGCTGAGGTGGGGAATACTAGGGAAGGCGCAGCTTTGGAGGGGAGGATACAGACATCAAAAGTTCTGTTTTTATCTTGCTAAGTTTGAGAAGCTCTTTAGACAAGGTGACAAGTCAAATGAGCGGGCACACCTAGGAGTGTGGAGCTCCTGCGAGGAGTCTGGACTAGAGATATAAATTATAGTGTTATCAGCATACAGATGGTAATTGAAGCCAGGGGGCTAGATGGGATAACCCAGGGAGAAGGCAAGAGTGATGACAGAAAAAAAAAAAGGATCAGCACTGAGTCCCAAGACAAGACACTTCAGCATTTAGAGGCTGAGCAGAGGAGGAGCCAGCAGAGGTGATTTCACTTCTCTGCTAGAGTTCAAGATTCATAGTAGTTTTATTTTTAATTAATTAATTAATTTATTTATTTATTGAGACGGAGTTTCCCTCTTGTTGCCCATGCTGGAGTGCAGTGGTGCAATCTCAGCTCACTGAAATCTCCGACTCCCGGGTTAGAGGGATTCTCCTGCCTCAGCCTCCTGAGTAGCTGGGAGTATAGGCGCACACCACCACACCCGGCTAATTTTTTGTAGTTTAGTAGAGACGGGTTTTCACTGTGTTAGCCAGGATGGTCTCCATCTCCTGACCTGGTGATCCACCCACCTCGGCCTCCCAAAGTGCTGGGATTACAGGCATGAGCCACCGCGCCCGGCCAAAATTCACGGTGGTTTTTATCTGAGATGTCCGCATCACACATTTCCTCACTGCTCTTGAGGTTCCACTGACAATCAGAAGAATTTCAATTTTTACATTAATTTTGTTTTGTTACTGCTTTGGGGAGGCAACTGGAGATGATTCAACATTTATTAAATCAACTCTTTGGGATTAATGGGTGTTCTCTTCTTCTGAAATACAATGTTCTGTTCTGTTTTCATGAGGCTCCAATTGAAAACTCATTCCTGCCCCTGTCCTCATTTCCCTCCCTGGGTCTGTGAACAGCTTTCTGAAGAGACAGAGAGAAGTGAGCTAGCTCTGGGAGTAGGCAGTGGAAGAGCACTACAGTGCTTTCCATACCTAGCTGAAAAGGACCTGTAGAAAATCTGCAGACACATTTATGATCAGGGACTTCTTTCCCTTCCTAACCAAAATAGAAAACAAAGTCTCAGATAAACAGGCCAGATCTCCAAGTCTTGCGCATTTCTCCAGTCCTGTCTGCATTTCCCCCATCTCTACCCTGAGCCAGGCTCCTACCAGCCCCGCAAGGGAAAAGGGAGTAAAACAGCCTTTCAATATGCTTAGGAGGATTTGTCACAGGTGATTCTCCATAAAAGTGTAAGGAGAAAACTTGTAATGCCATATATGAACTGAAATGGACAATCGCAAGATTATGTGTGGCTGAAGACATCACCATTGAGACAGTAAGGCCGGTTAGACGAGCTTTCAGTGACAGAAGTTAAATATGATGCTTTTGAAACACCGATGTGTGTAAAGACACTAAAAACAAATGCAACATAATAGCCAAAACTTGTACTTGACAGAAACACCTAGAGCTACTGCAGGAATGCTTTCTCTGTTTGTGTATACTCTGAGGATGGTTACCACTGAAGTGTTAAGTGGCTAAATTATAATTGCTATGGGAACTGTAAGTGAAACTTGACCTTTGATACACTTACATGTTCAGCCATAACATTGCATTAACAGGCTCTTGCATTTACCTGGTGTATGCGGCTTTGCTTCAGGCTTTCAGGGAGAGTAACTTGAACTAAAAATTGTTTAAGAAGGAGAATGAAGAAAGCTTGATTCCTTTCAAAATCTCATCCACTCCTAGCATCAGAGCTCACTTCTTCAAAATTGTCTTGTAACAATGCTTTTCAAGGCAAGGTAACAAATTCTTGTATAGAGACTACTACTCCTTTAAAATAAATAGTGGACTCTTACTTATCAGAAAGTCAGTTGCCTGACTATTTGTATTGGTTGATTAGGACTTTTGGCTAGGGCCTCTAAACAGTTAGCTTTCCAGTGACTTTCAGAAAGTAGTAGGAGAAAAATAGCTATGGCCCAGTGAGTAGCCATGTGTGAGAAATAACCATCATTAATTATCTCACCGAATTCAAATCACATGAAATTAAAAAATAAGTGAATTGCACACCACAGTGAATAATTCTCTCCATTGTTTTGTTATTGCATTTCCACAAATTAAATAAATTAAACGGATGCAAATTTGATTTATGCACATTTTATGATTTTGCAAATGTGAATATTCTGAGTAAATGTGAACAATTGGACGCATGAAGCCCCTACAAGGTTTCAGAGTACTAAAACCCAAAGAAGCCAAGAAGACTACCTTGGAAAGGAAAGAGGTTATATTTATTAAGCACCTCCTGTGTCCTGGGCACTATGATGGATGCTTTATATATGCAATCTTCTTTTCATCTTTAGGATTCTCCATATGGCAGATGTTGTGAACCAACTTTCCCAATTTACGTGGTTACCTACTGGTGAAATCAGTATTTGAACCTAGTTTTGGGTAACTCTAAACCCCTGAGTTCTTTAAACAGTATCTGTATATTTGCAGATTTCTATACAGCAAATAATATTTGTTATATTATATATAAACATATGACAAGTGATATTTGTTATATGTTTACAAAGTAGCTCAACATTCCATAAAACATTGCATTTGTGCATGAAATACCAACATCAACTAATTTGTCTGTGTAAGGGATGAGGTCGATTAATTGAGCATCAGCTTTTATAACAGTTCATGAAGCACAGGAGTCTGGTTGGCATAAATAAAAATGAAAGGGAAATGGAAAGCAAGAGACTCAAAACAAATGCTTCGGTTTCTTTAGTGACAATTTTTGTATTTATATACAAATGTGTAATTATCATCCACACCGTACATATTAAGAGATGTCTTTTTCATTTGTTAACAACGTGATTAAGATTCTTAAATTTTTAGCTAGCAACTTTTCTACCCTAGCATTTATAGCAGAGGGTCAAAAGCTGACCTTGAAATACCATTTTTTTAAAGCTTTTATTTTTTTTTAGCAGTTTTTGGTTCACAGCAAAATTAAATGGAAAGTTCAGCGAGTTCCCATATCCCCTGTGCCCCTACACATGCACAGCCTCCCCATTATCAATATCCTACACAAGAGTGGTATATTTGTTATACTGGTGAACCTGTATGGACACATCATTATCACCCAAAATCCATAGTTTACATTAGGGTTCACTTTTGGTGGTGTTCTTTCTATAGGTTTGGGCAAATGTTTAATAACATGTTTCCACCATTATAGTATCTTACAGAGCTGTTTCACTGCCCTAAAAATCCTCTGTGCTCCATCTATCCATTCCTCCCTCTCCCTAACCCCTAGCAACCACTGATCATTTTTACTGCCTCGATAGTTCTGCCTTTTACAGAGTGTCATGTAAGTGGAATCAGACAGTATGTAGCCTTTTCAGAATGGCTTCTTTCACTCAGTAATATGCTTTTAAGTTTCCTCCATGTCTTCTCATGGCTTGATAGCTCATTTCCATTTAGCCCTGAATTATATTCCATTGTCTAAAGATACTACAGTTTGTTTATTCACTCACCTACTGAAGGACATATTAGTTGCTTTCAAATTTTGGCAATTATGAATCAAGTTGCTATCAACATTTGTGTGCAGGTTTTTGTGTGGACATAAATTTTCACCTCTTTTGGGTAAATACCAAGGAGCATAATTGCTGAATCATATGGTATGAGCATGTTTACTTTTGTAAGAAACTGCCAAACTGTATTCCAAAGTAGCTGTACCATTTTGTATTCCCACCATTAATGAATGAGAGTTCCTATCGCTCCACATTCTCACCATCATTTGGTGTTGTATGTGTTTGGGATTTGGGGTTCTAATTGGTGTGGAGTTGTTACATTGCCTTTTTAAGCACAATATAGTATTTCAATAGGCAATGTACTAGAGACATGTTATTCTAAGTTATAATACAAAATCTTGGCATGTCAATTTTCTCTTGCTCTCTCCGTAGGTTAACCATTGACCCCTGCAGACATTTAAGCTTGCTCATCCTAATGTAGAACTGTTCCTTCAAATGGAGTATATATTATTTCCTAGAGGAATAAAACTGTGTTTCCTTTATAGTTAATAGAAACAAAAAGTCAAGATGTCTTCTAGTAGTCCATTGGACAGGTTACCAAATTTCAGAACGAATCTTCAACTTCTCAGGTTCTGAAATTCAGTCTCAGCATCATGTTAGCATTGACTAGATTCAATGGAATGGATTCCCAGTATGTGAACTCGTGAAAAATTGATGTTTAAGCTAAATGCGCATTTCTTCCTAGGTACTGATATGATTGTGCCTGCATTCCATGAGACCCACTTTCTAAGATCATGTTGACTGGGTATTGTGGCTAGTCCATAAAGTTGGAACAGACCTCCATCCAAAATTTGATTTAGGTTTCCAGGCTAGTGATGCCACACACACACACACACACACACACACACACACACACACCACAGGAGGGTATGAAGAGGTTTATTACTCCCATAATGATGCTTTCTGGAGAAAGCAGGATAGGCATCTCAAGTTGAAAATGTCTTGAGAGAGCTGGGATAAAATTAAAGGAGACTGGCTTTGGGTTTTAATGTGGTTAAGGGACAGGGTTGGGGTGAGGGTGGCAGTGTATGATTCGAACTTACTGCTGGTTACAGAAGAGGAGCACCTGAGGATTTTTGTCAGCTTGCCCCAGTGTTGGACAGAAAGAGAAGATGGAAGGGTTAGGCTGAAAAGATGTCTGCAGTCAAACGTCAAAAAATGGAGTCAGACTCTATTGCACAGGGTGTTCAGATTAGCAAGAAAAAGATTGTTTAGTTAACATGGAATTGAAGCAAAGTATGGTGACCCCTCTTGAAATGGTCCATACTATGAATGGTTAAGTCTAAGTGGCATCTCTGTCTCACAACAATGTAAGCCTTTTTGGATTCCAGCATATGAGGCTTTTGTGTCTCTACCTTTTGATCACTGTTAGGAAAGAGAAGCCCTATAAATTCTTGCTATTTACTTCTGTTTATACATTTTTCTTCAAAACATTATTTGATGTTGGAGATGTCAATACATTTTCTGACGCAGTCCTTCTTGCACTTTAAACTGGGTGTCAATACATCTTTTTTGGTAATTTCTTCAGGTTAGTAAATCTCATCTGTTATGGGTAGAATAAGACTATTTTAACTCATAGTGTTCCAAGGAAACTACTATCTACCATCTACAATTACTTTCAGTATTTTAACAAACTGGATGACAGTGTCTTCTTTCTGTTGCTTATGAAGTCTCATCCTGAATGTTATTACAAAACACTGACCCTACTCTTCCATGTCACCATTTAAAAGGATAAAAATGTATATATTGTGGAATATTGGTAACAGCAGAGAAAATTCCTAGTAATAATTATGTGATGCATAAAGAGTAAAGTAGTAAAGATGAGATCAATTCTGAAGGACTGTGGCTGATGGTCCTATATCTATGCTGAGAACAAAAGAATATACTCAAAGAGAAATAGAAAATATTCAGAATACATTTGAAAAACAACTGCAAAAATAGTGGAGATTCAGAGAAAAACCTCTTCTTAAAGGATTTATTTAAAACTGTTTATTTTTTATTGTTTTTTATTCTCATATATTTAAGGAGTGCCAGTGCACTCCTTTCAAGTATTACATGGATATATTGCATAGCAGTGAGGTCTGGGCTTTTAGTGTAACTATCACTCAAATAATGTACATTTTATCCGTTAAGTAATTTCTCATCCCTTACCTTCCCCTCGTCCTTCTGAGTCCCCATTGTCTATCATTCCACTCTGTATGTCCATGTGTACACATTATTTACTTCCCACTTATAAGTGAGAACATGCTGTATTTGACTTTCTGTTTCTGCTGTTTCACTTAAGATAATGGCCTACAGTTTCATTCATGTTGCTGCAAAAGACATGATTTCATTTTTTTATGGCCAAATAGTATTCCATTGTGTACATGACATATTTTCTTTATCTAATTATCCATTGATGATCACTTAGGTTGATTGCATATCTTTGCTATTATGAATAGTTTTGTGATAAACATACAAGTGCAGGTGCCTTTTTTTATAGAATGACTTCTTTTCTTTTGGGTAGATACTCGGTAGTGGATTGCTGGATTTCTATGTTTAGTTATTTGAGAAATCTGCCTACTGTTTTCCATAGAGGTTGTACTAATTTACATTTCCATCAACAGTATATAAGCATTCTCTTTTCTCTGCATCCTCACCAGCATCTGTTATTTTTTGACTTTTTAAATAGTAGCCATTCTGACTGGCACCTGGTGATGTCTCATTGTGCTTTTAATTTGCATTTCTCTGATAAGTAGTGATGTGAGTATTTTTTCATATGCTTGTTGGCCATGTGTATGTCTTCTTTTGAAAAATATCTGTTCATGTCCTTTGCCTACTTTTTAATGGAGTTGGTTCCAGGAAAATTGAATTTCCTTATGCAGAAGAATGAAACTGGACTCCTATTTCTCACCATATAAAAAAAGCAACTCAAGGTGGATTAAAGACCTACATGTAAGACATGAAACTACAAAAATACTAGAAGAAAACTTAGGAAAAACTTCTGGACATTGGCCTAGGCAAAAAAAATCATGAGTAAGATCTCAAAAGCACAATCAATGAAAACAAAAATAGACAAATTGGATTTGATTAAACTAAAAAGCTTCTGCACAGCAAAAGAAATAACAGAGTGAACAGACAACCTGCAGAATGGGAAAAAGTATTTAAACTATGCATGTAACAGGGGACTAATATCTAGAATCTACAAGGGACACAGACAGCTCAAGAACAACAACCAGAAAAACCATCTCATTAAAAAGTAAACTGTATATTTTTAAATATGCTTATAAGTAAAAGAACAAAGTAGATTCTTGCCTCCAGCAGTCTAGTGCTTCTTAATCTATTTGAAGTCATACATTTGTGTGAGAATTGACGAAAATCCTTGGTGGAGAGAAAATAGGCATGAAGCAACATTTGCATTTGACCTATAATGTATGAATAGCATAACGGTATTATGCTATTCAATACTAACTTTAGCCTGTTTGGCAGGTAAACATTATTTCAAAAGGGAAAGTTTGTTTCATAAGCTACTTAGTCCTTACTAGAGCAGTTTCTCATTATTGACTGGCTATGTTCATTTAGAGTTTCCAAGAGAATCTGTCGTTGTATTTTGTAACTCAGCTAATACCACCCTGTTAAAGAGATGTACAGTCTTACACTTACAGGAATATGTTGAGAATTAAAAGGCTACTTAGGCAAGGCTTACAAGGATCAGGTATGCAAATAATAATAGCAACCTTTGATTGGGTGGTTTGCCATGTTCCAGGAACAGTACAAAGCACTATCTCATTTAATCTTCCAACAACTTATGATAGGGGTATTAATCCCATTTCGTTGATGAGTAAACTGAGGCTCAGAAAGATTAGATAATTTGCCCAAGTATTTGTTGAGCACTTCCTGAATGTTTGATACTATAGAGAAGGATACAAATGAAGCAAAATATGGATCCAGTAAAACTTTTTAAACTTAACAAAAAGTTTAATTAATATATTTTTTAAATATCTATAATTGAAATTATGAAAGGCAGTTTCTAGCCTATGGTTTCATTATACCTTAAACTAATGATGTGGAGCATTGACTTCTTTCAAAACTCTCTGAGTATTCATTTAAGAAATGAAGTATTGTATCAGAGGCTCTGTTGATCATGGCTATCAAGCAAGTAGACATACCTCAGATATTTGAACTCAAGAAAAAGCAAAATCTCAGACTTAATATAAGACCATTTGTATGAACCAAAACTCATCTCTATGGATTGAACATAGAGCAAATGATCAACATAGCTTAATGGTGATATTAAATGTAATGATTATATTAAGTGTAATGGTGACATTAAATGTATTTCAAGTAGATGTGACATTGCTGCCTCTTTATTTATAGCTGCGAACAGCTGTGTACTTTCAAAATAACAAATTTTTAATGAGAAAAAAGAAAAGCAAAAAACATGCTTGGAGAGTTTCTTTTTATGCTTACTGTTTTGACACAGTTTTGCGCATAGGTGATATATTTATATTCTCTCCATTATTCTGTTTTTTATTTTAATTTTAACTTAATTTTATTTTATTTTGAGACTGAGTCTCACTTTGTTGCCGGGCTGGAGTGCAGCCGGGCATGATCTCTGCTCACTGCAAGCCCCACCTCCCAGGTTCATGCCATTCTCCTGCCTCAGCCTCCGGAGTAGCTGGGACTACAGGCACCTGCCACCATGCCCAGCTAATTTTTGTATTTTTAGTAGAGACAGGGTTTCACCACGTTGGCCAGGATGGTCTCAATCTCTTGACCTCTTGATCCGCCTGCCTCGGCCTCCCAAAGTGCTGGGATATCAGGTGTGAGCCACCGCGCCTGGCCTCTCCCATTATTCTTTTACATTTAAATCATACCATCTTCCCTTTATGTTTATCAGTAATGTTCATAGCTTTGTTAGAAGACAAAGGCTTTAGAGCATTCATGTTTTGATTTTTTTTCCTTTTGAACATTTTTTTAAAAACTGAAGCATAAAAATTTTAGATCTCTGTGAAACAATGCTACAATCAACTCTATATTTCTACCTAGAAAGGTAGGAAAAGACCACAATTATTTTTAGATTTAAAGATACTTTCTGCGTCATAACCACTATTTTCTTTCCTATGCCCCCTCATCGCACCCCCTGCCTCTCATGATCATCCAGAGGCATTTGAAGTTCATTAATTTCCTCCTTTTCTCTTCTATTTGACCTCTGCATTTATCTATCTTCTTGTCAATCATTTATTCTGTGTGCCAGGTGCTAGGCAAGTGGCAGAGATACAAAGATAAAAATCATATTCCTGTTCTCAATGTACTTAAAGTCTAAAGGAGAAGACAGATGTGCAAACAATTGCAGTAACCACTGTAAAGGTAAAGGACATCAGCTCAGTCTTAGTGGTTGAGCTGGGCCTGTTAAGGAAGCCAAAGGTAATAGGTATGACTCAAGTGTGGGCATATGTTAGGAGAAAGGGTAGAAGCTGAAAATGGAAATGCATGCAGGCCAGCTCACATATGCCATAGTGTATGACACAATCAGGAATTCAAATTTTATCGTGAATCATATTAACAAGGCATAAAAATTAAAGAACTGTCAGCAAGAGAATGAAATGAACATATATGCATTTTGAAAAGATCTCAGCCGGGCGCGGTGGCTCACGCCTGTAATCCCAGCACTTTGGGAGGCCGAGGCGGGTGGATCACGAGGTCAGGAGTTTGAGACCATCCTGGCCAACATGGTGAAGCCCCGTCTCTACTAAAAATACAAAAAAATTAGCCGGGCGTGGTGGCGGGTGCCTGTAGTCCCAGCTACTCTGGAGGCTGAGGCAGGAGAATGGCGTGAACCCGGGAGGCGGAGCTTGCAGTGAGCCGAGATCGCTCCACTGCGCTCCAGCCTGGGGGACAGAGCGAGACCCCGTCTCAAAAAAAAAAAAAAAAGAAAGAAAAGAAACAAACAAACAAAAGATCTCACTGGCAGCAGTGTGGAGGCAGAATGGACAAGATTCACATATTCACATAAAAGATGGCAGGCAGAGGTCTCAAGCACTTGCGGTAAGAATGTGGAAGCGACACACGTGAAAGAGGTTGACTGAGGCAGGTTCTCCAGACTTTATAGATTGATCTTATGTGAGGAGTAAGTGAGATGGAGATAAGTCTCGTGTTTCTGGCTAGAGTGACCAGGAGTAAGATGGTGGCATTAATCAGGATTAGAGATTGATTCATTTTTTAAAATATGTTGTATTGGTAGTGCCACTGAGACATCTGAATAGAGTAGTAGAAAACCCAATTAGATGTGAGTTTAAGGCTCAGGAGAGAAGTATGGGCTATGATAATATATCGATTTAAGAGTCATCATAGTTGAAGCTCTATGAGTGACATCATCAGTAGTTTCATTAAAAATGAAAACAAACAAGGGTTAAGGGTGGCACTTAAGGGAAGGCCTTCTTAAGGACCAAACTGGGGGACTTCTAGGCCATATGGTGCCTTTATGTGAATTAGAAAGCACCTTTATTGCTATCGGCCAGAAAGTCATTATAATGAATTTATGAAGATTACAGTGTGAATGGTACTCCCTGGTGCTGGGCAGTACACAGCCTCCCCAAACCATGCCATGAGGCCAGCAGTGAAAAATCAGCTGGCAAGGAGACTAAGAAGGAGCCACCAGGCAGATAAGAAGAAATCAAGTGGTGTAGAAACGAAGAGAATAGAGTTTCAAAGCCGAAAGAGTGGCACGGCTGTCAACTATGACTCAGAAGTAAGGTACATGGGATCTGAAAGTATTCGACAATCAGTCTTCTTCTAAATTTGGGATGCTCTCTCTCTCCTACCTCTTGAAGGTGCTTGACCCCAGCCACTGTCTGTTGGGGTTCAATCAGGCTGGTGGGAAAAATATTAGAGATAGTTATAGAAATAGACACAAATCTTGTTGGAAGGCTGAGAAGTTTGCATAACTTTGGTAATAGATCTGGCTGGAGGCAGCCTGATCCCTTTACCTTTAGTTAAACAAATTAAAATAGCAATAAAGGAAGAGTAGTTTACCTAGCTAACTTGTTTACTCATATAATCTTAAGACTAACCTTTGATGTACCGTGGGTGCTTAAGTGCGTTTTACTCAGGAAGCCCACAATGTCAATTACCCTCTAATGGTGTTGACTCAAGCTTTTGTTAATTAATCTTACTGAATAAATGTGAGTCTGACTAGCTGATCAGGGCCAGTCGCAACTGTTTACAGGACTCAGCAGGGAGTCTATAAGCGGCTCGAACACAGCTGGACTGGCAGAGGAGAATATCTGTGTGTCAGTGTACTTTATTCATCCGTCACCAGGTCAGGGGTCTGCAAGGGACAGACTCCCTGCAGCTGGTGCCCCCTTGAGAGGAGTGCTGCCGCAACTATCCCTTCCACCCTGTCTAGCATTTGGATGCCCTATACATCATCTTCCTTTCCGTCTTCCTTTTGCTTGAAGGTTTCCTCTCTCTCCTCCTGTTTTGAATCTGGATACATTTTGGTTTGTTTCTCATTCCTCTTACTGTTTCACAGATGCTGCCATTATTTGCACCTGAGCCTGCCCTCTTAGAATTACAGTCTTTTCTTTAGGTCTTCACAAGACATGTTTGTTTTAAACACAATTCTTATAGACATCTACTGCCCTTTACATACGTGTGAGCATATATTTGTATTTGAATACAGATACCTTCTGAACAAGATATGAAAGGGAGTTTGAGGTCTCCTTCATATACGCTGTCATCATTTTGGACAAGGAAAATGTTACCAGCCTGATTTCAGACAGTTATACCAAACCATCTGGCCCCTTAACTCAAGTGCCTTCTTCCTCTATATGTAGACTTGAGTCCGGGGCATAAATGGAGGTCAAGTAATAGACTCATCAAGGGAAGAACTTTACTTCCTATTGTGTATTACAGTGAAACTTATAAGATGAATTCACCATAATGTGTATAATGGCATTATTCATGTTTTGAATTGTGACTGATGACTTTGCTATACCTGGGTCAAACCTGAGCCCATTATTTCACTAGAACTGCACTGTTTAGTATAATAGCCATTAGCCACATGTCACTATATAAAATTGAAATGTAATTAATTAAAATTAAATAAAAATAAAAACTCAATTTTCCAGTCACACTAGCCACCTTTTAAGTGCTAAGTCGTTTGGCTAGTGGTTACTGTATTGGACAGTGCAGATTTCCACCACTACAGAAAGTTTTATTGGACAGCACTGCACCAGAAGACTGTTGATTGTTTCTGTTAGTTCTCGGCTTTGGATGATGACTCTCAGGAAATAAGTGAGTTCCTCTGCAATAGTGCACAATTTATATTATACCACATAGAGGATTTTTTTGTGTATTTGATATAATTTTTAAAAAGAGGTAATTAACTTTCAGTCAGCATCTTCAGTGCTCTAAGTGCTTTATATTAGTTATACTTATTGCTAATTTATTATTATTATTATTTTCTATTAATTATCTTATGTTGTCACCATCATTTTACAAAGCAGGAAAATAGGGTTAGGAGAGGACAAGTGACACAAACTCACATCTATCTGGTCCAAAATCTACCTGTTCAAAGCTGCTTTCCAAAAATCACCACATGGTTATATTTTCTTTTTTGCAAGTAAAATATAGTACATGATCATTGGGGTATACCCAGAAGATAATGGCAGAAACTTCTAGACTCCTCAAAAAGCTGTTTGTATTCTCAAATGGACATTTATTTAACAGATCAACATGGTGGCAGTCATCACTACCAACTTTTAAGAACGTACTGATAGAGTCATTTATTTCCTTGCTATTAAAAAACAAGTCTGACAGGCACTAGCAGTAAGATCTAGTTTGCATATTTGTCCCTTCCAAATCTCATGGTAAAATGTAATCCCCAGTGTTGGAGGTCGGGCCTGGTAAGAGGTGTTTGGGTCATGGGGGCGGATCCCTCATAAATGGCTTGATGCCATCCTTGCAGTAATGAGAGGAGTTCTTGTTTTTAGTTCACACCAAAGCTGGTTGTTTAAAGAAGCCTGGAACCTCCTTCCCTCTCTTTTGCTCCCTCTCTCTCCATGTGAGACACTGGCTCTCCTTCACCTTCCACCATGCTTGTAAACTTCCTGAGGCTTCCTCAGAAGCAGATGCTGGCACTATGCTTCCTGTTTGGCCTGCAAAACCGTGAGCCAAATAAACCTCTTTTCTTTGTAAATTACCCAGTCTCGGGTATCACTTTATAGCAATGCAAACTAACACACAGGACATTCCAGTGAAACAATGATCCCAAATTCATTCTAGAAATATCTTCATAGAAAATCTGAGAATCATAAAAGAAATTAGTCTCAGTAATCTTTTTCTAGAAGATGGATGCTATTTTGGTCAACTTATACATAAGACCCTGAGAATTTATGGAAACGACATTAGAAGTGGTTTTATAGTTTACCTTAAAGATGACTTCTAAAGAAAGAACTGATATTTTGTATTTTACAGAGAAGAGGAGCACTTTATAAAATTTCATTTTGTTAAATTTTTATCTTAAAGTTGTGGTCTTTGGTTTATGTGACATTCTAACAAGCCAGGACTCTCTTCCTTAAGCCACACACATGAAAATTAAAATAAAGTAATTCTCCTACCACAGTGTAACTGCTTTGCATTTATCGTTTTTGCAGGAAAGCGATTTATGCTGCACACCTACCCTCCTTTGCAAAGAAGTATTACCTAGTTGAGAGGTAATAATTCTTGGTTTTTGGTACACATGATAGAATCATCCAAGATGAGTTCCTGGTGTGAAATGTAATTAGTGGGAATGGTCTACATACTTATACTTGGGCCCAAGAAAATCTCTAAGTCACAGCAATTGTATTAGGCCTGTATGGTCATCCACCTCTGAGGTGACTGAATCCATTTCATTCCCCACAATATTGTTTTACCTGAATGAAAAACTATATTTTGGTGTAGGAGTGAAGGATACAATTGGGCATGGTGTGTGAGAACCACCAGAAGCTCATAAATGGTAGAAGATTCTCAGGTAGATGAAAATTATGTCGGCCGGGGGCGGTGGCTCACGCCTGTAATCCCAGCACTTTGGGAGACAGAGGAGGGTGGATCACGAGGTCAGGAGATCGAGACCATCCTGGCTAACACAGTGAAACCCCGTCTCTACTAAAAATACAAAAAAATTAGCCGGGCGTGGTGGCGGGCGCCTGTAGTCCCAGCTACTCGGGAGGCTGAGGCAGGAGAATGGCGTGAACCTGGGAGGCGGAGCTTGCAGTGAGCCGAGATTGCGCCACCACACTCCAGCCTGGGAGAGAGAGTGAGATTCCATCTCAAAAAAAAAAAAAAAAAAAAAAAAGAAAATTATGTCAGAGGTAAAGTGTAGCCTTTCAGTAGAATCCAAAGTGGTAAAACCCAGCATGATTTTGTAATCAATAACTTGGCAAGTAGCACAGTCAACTTGCAGCAACTTTTTTCTGCTATTTGAGTATAGCAGCAAGTGGGAAAGATGTCTGCGTACAAAATGGAAATAAATTTGTTCTCCAGACAGATGCAGATTTTTTCACATTTTTTTTTCAAGTACCTCCTCTAAACCAGGACTATGTTGGCCCTGAAGAGACAGTGAAGACACGGCCCCTGTCTTCACAGGGATGATATTCTAATGGGGTGATATCAAGAGGTACATATAAAATGAAACAATGCCAAATTGCCATAGGGAAGATAATTAACATGAATCTGACAGATAGTAACATGAGGACTCATTTACTCTACATAGGGTGTTTAAGAGGGCCTCTATGGGGATGAGGCATTTAAAGCTTAGACTTTAAGTGTAAAGCAGAAACTATCTTTGTAAGGTGTGGTCTCCACAGAAGGCCTGTGCAAAGGCCCTGGGGTGAGATTGGGCTCCATCTTAGTCCAATCTTGCACTGCTATAAAGAAATACGAGAGACTGGGTAATTTACACAGGAAATAGGTTTGATTGGCTCACGGTTCTGCAGGATGTGCAGGAAGCATATTGGCTTCTGCTTCTAGAAAGGCCTTAGGTAACAATCATGGCGGAAGGGGAAGAGGAAGCAGGCACATCTTACATGGCCAGAGCAGGAGGAAATGGGTGGAAGCGGGGAGGTGCTACACACTTTTAAACAACCGGATCTCAGAATAACTCACTCATTCACTATCACGGGAACAGCACCAAGGAGATGGTGCTAACCCATTCATGAGAACTTCACTCCCATGATCCCATCACCTCCCACCAGGCCCCACCTCCAACAATGGAGATTATAATTCAACATGAGATTTGGTGGAGACACAGATCCAAACCATATCAAGCTCTATACCTGCTCAGCTGCCATGTGCTCTTACAAGATCTTTTTCTTGATGGAATCTTAGTGATGGTCCATTTATGATATCAAAATAATTACAAAACTTTTTACATTGTTGCTTTCATGGAGAAATTTGAGGTTCTCCATTGACTTATACAGTGGAACCCACCATATGCAAATCACCCTTGTTGCTGTGACTGGGTATGTTACTACAAGTTTATGCATTTTACTGTGTCCAGGAAATAGTACTTGTTTGTCGCTTACCAGATCTGAATTATTACAGAGATTTTCAGAGGTATGGATAGAGGTCTGTCAAACAGGGATAAAGCATTATTTTATCTAGTCTCAGCAAAGAACATGTCTGATAATTTCCAGTGTTCTTGATGTGTTATACCAAAATTTGTTCTCTTACCCTACGTGTTCTGCTGATCTGAAGCACAAAATTTCCACATCATAGTGTTTGTTGAATGGTTAAAAGAGAAGAAAAAAATGAATGACATGTGGATACTAAAATCTATTCCACACTTTAAGCTCCTGCTGTTTTGGTAGGTATGTGGTGATAGTGCAGCCAAATGCTACCAGAGGCTACAGAACAGGTTCTGAAGACAAGGAGGCCAATGAAATGGAAAAAAAGCTTCATGGTCCTTTAAATCTGGATGAAATAATAGTACTACCCAAACTCAAAGGTTCTCACATAGAGGGAAAACAAGAAGCATCCTTGATGTCTGAAAGGGTCTCAGTGATTCAGAAATCTCCATTTCTAGGAAATAGCAACTATGTCACACAGCTGAATGTTAAAGGAGGCTGCAGATGTTTAATATTAAAGAGGTCCGGAACTTATTCTTGTTTTTGCTTTTTTTTTTTAATTAGCTGTATTTTATTTTTCTGGATTGTGGGGATTAGATGCTCATTATGAAAAGCTGATTTTTAAAAAAACCAATCCCTCTACTTTGACTAGAGGCTAGGAATTATGTCTTAATGGTAGCTATCTCCCAGGAGTAGAAGCATAATAAAGATGCAATTTATTAAATAGTGTTTCCCTTTCATTTACTCTCAGATACTCACTAGTCATTGCTGGGAAGCATATTCAGCCAGTGAGAATGGTTCTATACCACTTATTTGTCTGACTTGTTTCCCAAGGGAATGGATGAGGACCACCCAAAGATCCAGCAGTCCTCACCCTTGTGCAGAATTGAACCAAGCAGCTTGTCTTTCATCAGGTTTTGCATATTGGATCACAGTGACTTCTATTGCCTATTGAACTTTTTCAGATTGTTGCAACATTCCTTCGAGATTTGGTACCAGGAGCAATTAAGCCAGTATATTCCAAAGGTGACGCCAGAGTTTACCTGATACAAATACTTGGCTCATCTGTGCTAAGACTGATTGAGAAAATGTACTGAAATGTTCCAGATGCTGGCATATATTTAACCTGGCACAAGGCCTCAGACCCTGAGAGCCCTGCCCCATGGTACCACAGGGCACACAACTTTCCCACAAAGTTCATCTGTGGCTGTCATGGATAAAATAATGGTTTGGCTTTGCTTTAGTGCCTCTGGCCCCTTTCAGGCAATCAAAAATATTTATTGACCCCTAACTAAATGGAAGGCACAGTGGGACTCAATTCTCACAATTTCTGCCTCTAATTGGGGAATTAAGACACACAGACATTTAAGGAAGGGAAAGAATAGGCTAAGTGTTAAATAGGAATAAAAGAAGATGATAATATGAAATGACATAAGGCAGTTCATGTTTACTTGCCAAAGGACTGATGTAACTACAGTGGGCTTGGTGGAGAGAGACACACCTGGCATCCCAGAGTAGCGTGGGCAGGCATCAGGGATGAAGTCAGATTTGGTGTGAGCATCGGATAGGTCAGTGATTCTCAACCCACCCTGGACATAAGGGCCATCTGGAAAGATTTCAAAAAATGCCAAATAGGATGCCACCAGCCGGGCACAGAAGAGGAGTGGGAATGTCTGAAGAAGGACATAAAGGTTTCAGCAAACAAGCTTTGGTCTGCCAACCAAAGCTTGTTTGGTTGTAGGAGAAAGTTGGTGTGAGAGAAAAAAAGAGAGAAGGCAGAAAAGTCAGGTTGCATCTGACTCTTAAATGGTCTTGCATACCAGGCCAAGGAATTTGGAAACGTATTTGACAATCTTTCTTCTGTTGAGGACAATGGAGTAAATTTAGCCACAACGCCTGACTTTTTCAGCTGGAGAAATATTTGCTTTCCTCCGTATCATGTATTTCCTCACTTCCCACTCTGGCCCCCTGCTTAGAAACTTCGGTTTAACAGGAAATAAGTGTAGACACATGCTAATACTTCACCAGTTCCTCATTCTCTCAAATACAGGATCCTGGCTGATACTATGGGAATGTGATTCAGAAAGTACAAGTACTATGTAGAATTCCCCTGAGTAGTAGCCAGGAGGGGTCACCAAGAGGCAGCAAATTTAGTCTCTCCAACAAGGTAAAGCAGGCCACCCTGGGTTCTCATCCCATTTACAAGGACAAAGGGAGTCGGCACTATCACCTCCAGAATTACGGATGCTTTCACTACAGTTTCCATTTACTTGCTACTATGGTTTGTTCTCGTTTCTCTGATTTTTTTTTCTCTTTTTCCCTTTTTTGAAGAATGGACCTGGGTAAAGTTATGATCATATTATGGCTAATATTGGGCTGAAACAGACTGGATGGATGGATGGATAGATAGACAGATGATACATAGGGATAGATTATTTGTGAAGAGGACTGCCTAACTAAAAGGAAATATTTCAGCTTACAGCTGGCACTTTATAAGACTCTTTGCAGATAAAATTCTGTTAGACCTTTAAAGAAAATAAATTTCACACTACTGTCCTAATGCAGGAACTTGAACACAGCACATTAACTGTAAGTCTTTGCTTATTCATATGGTGAGACTTATTTAGGCCAGGCATGGTGGCTCACACCTGTGGTCCCAGCATTTTGGGAGGCCAGGACAGGAGGATTACTTGGGTCCAGAAGCTCAAGCCCAGCCTAGTCAACAGACCGAGATCCCCATCCCTATGAAATATGTTTTAAAAACTTATATAAAATAGTATTTCAAGTCAGTTTGTGTATTAGTATTAAAAGAAGTGTGTTGCTTTGCAGCTGACTAGAAGCTCAGCATTTCCTAGCTGGGCAAGAGCTTTGAGCATGATTGCAGCATCTCTGCAGAAAAACTACATTCTAAAAGCAACGGAAATCCTCCTGCTGCCCTTCTTCCTCTGAACTGAAGTTTAAAGACCATGGGCACTGCTGGTGACCTCCACAGAGTGTTTCAGTTCCTACCCTCTACTCCCACTCAGCATCACTGAACAGACACAGGCTAGACAGGGCAGTCTGCAGCCCAGACTGTGGTGAGGTGGGAACTGCAGTCCTACTACTTGGTCCATTGAAAGAGGAGGCCAAGAGGCAGAAAATGTTCCCTCTTAATTTTACCGTGTAACCTTTCTTAAGGTGTGGCATGCAACTATGTAATGATCACAATTGTTATATTGTTTATACATCATTTATATTTCTATCATCAGATTTTACTCAAAGGTTTACTGTGGTTGGCTTCACAAGAAGTGTAATTCTGCGTTATTCAGGTATCAGGAAGTGTTTATTAAAACTCTGGTCTTGAGCTGAGTGCCAGAGAGAAAAAAAAAATGCCCACCTGTTGGCCAGTCTAGCTCTGGAGACAAAATTATAAAATATGAGCTAATTAGAGAGTAAATGAATGCTAAAGTGAGAGATGTTTACAACAGCTGCAGGACACATTCTGAAAAGGAAATCATTGTGTGCACTGGAGTGTTTATCTGAAACCTAGAATTGGACTAATGAGTAGGATTTTATTTCTTAGTAGTGCGGGGAAAATGAGCAAAATCATGGGAGAATGTTCCAATGGCAAAATGCAACCTCGGTGTGGCAAAATAGAAGCTAATGTGAGGAAACCAACCTGCTTTAGGTGGTTTAGTCTGATGAAGACACACAGACTACTCAAAAGGGAGAACGAGGCAAGTCAGAAGACAGGCTCAGAGGCTATTGCAGAAATTCAGGCAGGAGGTAATTCAGACCTGAACTAATCTTAAAAAAAAAAAAAAGTACTACACAGGAAAAGCAATAAGAAGACCCACGGGGAATTTCACTGGAAGAGTCCAAGGGTCATATAATGTTTCCAGCTAAAGAGGAAGGTGAGAGATCATATACTTTAATGAGTAACAAAATGCTGTCCCCTGGCATCAGTGTTTTCAGCAGTTATTGCCTTTAGAGATGCTTTTGATTTTACAAGTGTATTCCTATGCTTAAAGTCTTCTCTCACTATCTTCTTTCTTACCTTAGATAAGATGCATCAGGTCAATCGTCAATGTATTGATTTTGAGGTTGGACTATCTTGGGCTCCAAGTCTTCTAGAACTGAACCTGTTCAGCTCATAAAGTGGTGTCTTCCTTTAGGACAGATAGCATTTAATAGTTTTCAAAGGTCAGGTTGGGTCAGTAGTAGGAGTGGTGATTTCACTGCCTCTGACCCTGGGAAGAAGTTACTGCTGGCCCTTGAAATTCCAGTTCTGCTGGAGGAAAACTGGAAGATGGGTTTGCTAGGCTGGCTGTGTAGAAATGAATATTGTGGGCTTGCTTCCTTGCCACTAGTTTGTAAGAATATGTCAACTCTTTTCTGCTACAAAGAAGGATGTCTGCTCTGTGTGTGTGTGTGTGTGTGTGTGTGTCTGTGTGTGTAAAAGAAAGAATAAAAGAATGCGTAAAAGAAAGAATAGTGAACTAAAAAGCAGATGAGCTGATTTTAATTTCAGCCCTGCCTCACAATACTCATTTACATACACTAATTTTGTGACTTTGGCAATTCATTTAATTTCTTATGGTTTCTTATGCTTTTCTTACTTCATCTCATCAGCATCATAACAATTGTTATTAGGCAGGGTACAGTGACCCAGACCTGTAATTCTAGCACTTTGGGAAGCTGAGGCAGGAAGATTGCTTGAGCCCAGGAGTTCAAGACCAGCCTGGGCAATATAAGGAGACCTCTGTCTCTATAAAAATAAAAATAATCAACCGGGTGTGGTGGCGTGCACCTGTAGTCCCAGCTACTTGGAGGCTGAAAGTGGGAAGATCAATTGAGCCCCGGAGGTCAATGCTACAGAGCTAGGATCATGCCACTGCACTCCAGCCTGGGTGACAGAGTGAGAACCTCTCTCAAAATAAATTAATTAAATATTTATTAGTTAATTAGTTAAATTAATTCTGTTTTAGAAAAAAAGCAATTATTATCACAAGCTAGACAGTTTATCAGTGTTTACTCTAAGATACTCTAATCAAGGTAACAGAAACTCAAAAATACTATCCAAAGTCGGGACCTTGCAAGTGTCTATTTCAAGACTGATTTCCAAGCCCAGGTTCTTTGTGCCACCTCACACCAGAGGTGCATGTCGTCAGGAAGAGCTATGCCATAAGTGGCCAGCCATGTCTTCAGTTGCTAGTGGTTTGGCCTTATTGTATGTAAAAATATATTTATGTATATAAAAACAGTAGAGATTCTGGCAATAAGAATAGATGAATATTCCGCAGTGACTTAGGCTTTCTGTTACATATTCATTGTGATGCCAGTTGGCAGAGGACTAAGCTGGCCATTCCAAATATGATTTCTTTTTTAACTCTTGTAAAACTGTATTGGCTGGGCTCATGCCTGTAATCCCAGCACTTTGGGAGGCCAAGGTGGGCAGATCATGAGGTCAGAAGTTTGAGACCAGCCTGGCCAATATGCTGGAACCCCGTCTCTACTAAAAATAGAAAACTTAATCGGGTGCGGTGGCATGGGCCTGTAGTCCCAGCTACTCTGGAGGCAGAAGAATCACTTGAACCCGGGATGCGGAGGCTGCAGTGAGCCAAGATTGTGCCACTGTACTGGGTGTGACAGAGTGAGACTCCGTCTTAAAAACAAAAAAAAAACTATATCATTCTTATAAGTGGGAGAGTCATTTACTACTTTCATGCCTATAGTGTGTGTGTGTATGTGTGTGTGTGTGCATATATATATATTAGCCATATGTAGGTTTTCATGAAACTGATCTCTGTAGGGTTGATTTTTAGTCTGGCTTCTGCTGAGTTGCATTCTTCTTCTTAAGAATATCTTGTGGACCAGGTGCGGTGGCTCACACCTATAATCCCAACTACTTGGGAGGCTGAGACAGGAGAATTGCTTGAACCTGGGAAGCGGAGGTTGTAGTGACCGGAGATCACGCCACTGCACTCCGGCCTGGGCAATGGAGCAATACTCCGTCTCAAAAAGAAAAAAAGAATATCTTGAATATCTTGTGGGTGTTCTTACATAACCCAGTCAAAAAGACAGATAAGCTCCTCCTAGCCTCTTTCTAAGACTTTAAAGAGTGCTTTACATTTATGAAATGCATATACATTATTATATTTGACCGATCATAATGTTGTCACATAAGTCTATCCTAGCAAGTTAAGTATATCAACAAGTTTAGAAAACTATATTCAGAAAAATTCAGTGCATGTCTAGTAACTGGTTGGCTCAGGGTCAGAATGCAGGTTTTTCTGCTCCTATTGCAGTAGTTGTGCCATCATAAGCGAGCAACTGACCCTTTAAGTTACTGAGCTGCAATGGTGACTTACGAGAGAATCAACTCCCTGTAACTTCATAGCTGTAGAAAAATCATAGCTGCAGAAAAAATAGATTGAAAAAGATGGTGCTATGTGAGTGGCATCATGTTCTACCAAAATTCATATGGTGAAGTCTTAATCCCAGTAGCTCAGAATGTGACTTTATTTGGAAATAACTGTTGTCACAGATATAATTACTTAAGCCGAGGTCATCCCAAAGCAGAGTGGACTCCTAATCTAGTATGACTGGTATTCTTATGAAAAGGGAAAATTTGGACACAGAGACACACACACACACAGGGAGAAAACCATGTGAATAACGAAGTTTTGCTGTCATGAGCCAACAAAATACCAGAAGCTAGGAGAGAGAGGCCTGGAACAGATCCTTCCCTAGTGCCTTCAGAGGGATCAGCCTGGGTGACAGAGCAAGACTCTGTCTCAAAATAAATAAATAAAAGACAAATTCTCAAAGTACGTTCAGAAATATTTTATCCTATTTTTTGAGAACAAATACCTATTCATCAAGCTACTACCAATAAAATTATATGAATCTAATCCTGAGACAACTTAAAGCAAATACTTAAAAATCTGGCTTCCACTTCTACCTCTGCCTTAAAATTAAAATGAATATGTTCTTTTAGAAAAAAATAATTGCTGAATCTAGTGACCCATTTTAGGTCTTTATTCTTGCTGACCATTCTATTCCATTTACCCCTAACCACTAACTGTCCTTGGTAGTTCCACTCCATGATTGTGACCTCCATCCTTGGTTTCACTTTTACTGCTCTAACTGCTCTTCTCTGTCCTGTTTTAAATCTTCTATACTTACAATAACTCAGAATGCTATCTTTTATCTCCTTTTCTTATGTCTTCTTTTCCTATCATTTGGCATAATTACTCATAATTTATATTCTATTCCATATATAGATGACCCCCAAATTTGTGTCCAGCTTTGAATTCTTGCCAGGTCCCCAGACCTGAGTTTCCACCATCTCCTGAAATTGCCCTCCTACATTCCCAGCCAATACTGCAAACTTGAGATATCCAAATGATATTCATCCTTTTCCCCCATAAAACGGCATTACCAAGTTTTATTACCTAAACTTCTTTTTAACTACTTCTTCTTTCTCCATAATTATAACCAGTTGCTATAGTCTCATGGTTAGCAGAATCGTTTTTGCAGGAGCCAAACTTGGGTTTGAATTATCCTGCTATTAATAGCTGAATGCCCTTGGGCATGTTTCTTAACATCAAACAAGATAACGTGTAAAATACTTAGCTGAGTAACTTGCACAAAATAAGGGCTAAATAATTATTATCATTTTTCCTTTGTAGTGTCATTCATCCCTTCTTCATTCCACTAAGTCACAGGATAGGTTTTGTTGTCTCTTATCTAAAAATTACAATAGCATAATAATTGGTCTTTCCTTCTTCAAACTTCCTTCCCATATATAGTGTGTAGTCCATCAAATTTATCCCTACAGAATATCTCTGCCTTGTAAGTCTCCTATTCAGAAGCATTTGGCGTCTCACCATTTCCTCCTTCAAAGTGACAAAGTTCAGCTCCCTTAGCATGTGTTTTATTGTAGCAACAAGCAGAAGATGAGTAGGACTCTAATAATAGCCCTTACTGGAATAAAATTACTATGGGTAAAACCTACACAAATTCACTGCAGAGGCCATAGAACATTAATAGAAATACAAAATGAGGGCACATATGAGCACTGAATCATAAAGGCCCCTGCCATATATGAGTACAATAAAATTAAGTCTATCAGCCGGACGCGGTGGCTCACGCCTGTCATTCCAGCACTTTGGGAGGCCAAGGCGGGTAGATCACCTGAGGCCAGGAATTTGAGACCAGCCTGGTCAACATGGTGAAACCCTGTCTCTACTAAAAATACAAAAATTAACCGGGTGTAGTGGTGTACGCCTGTAATCCCAGCTACTCAGGCGGCTGAGGCAGGGGAATCGCTTGAATCCGGGAGACGGAGGTTGCAGTGAGCTGAGATCGTGCCACTGCACTCCAGCCTGGGTGACAGAAGGAGACTCTGTCTCAAAAAAAAAAAAAAAAAGATTAAGTCTATCTGTAATTGGTTTCCAACTTATTCTTCTTGCCCTATCCCCTTTGTTGCCTTCTACAAAATGTGTGCCGCAGTCAACCTAAACCATCTCCATCCTTCATGCTTTGACCTCCTTTAAGTAAACTTCCCTTTAAATGAATTTACCCAGCTCCACTCAACCCCAAGATGGCAAACTTTGTGGCAGTTAATGGAAGGAGTCTGATTAGAACCAATAATTTGTATAAGAAAACACCAGAGAGCTTTGGATTAATAATAAATATAATCTGAAGTTCCACTCCAGAGTTACCCCAAATCCACACCTCAAAGTTTCTTATTTTGCCTTCAGAAATGCCATCACATTTGAGCACACTTGCAAATTTAAGCACATTTCGTCATCCAAGTCATCAATTTTCATTTAATTTGTCAACCTGTCTTTCAAGAAGCTTTTAGCTTGGATGCGTTATTCCAATAATACTGAAAGAATATTGCTCTTCTGATTTGCTTAGTGATTTTATGCATGGTATTTGAGAATACCACTTGCTGATTAAATGTTGATGCAATATTTTTCCTAACCAGACTTCAGGCATATAAAGTAGGCCTTACTAGGAGCACATTACACACTCTAAATGAAGAGAAAAAAATTATTCACTCATTTCTTCATGTTTGTTGCCTATCATGTGCCAGAAAGTGTTCTAATTGCTGGTGAAACAGAAGTAATGAGACAGACGATGTTTCTGTCCTCGTGGAACTTACATTATTTAAGGAAAGCTGGTTTAGCAAATAAATAAATGAGAACATGAACCTAGAACACAAGAACATGAACATGAATAAGAACAGGAACATGGGACTGGGCACAGTGGCTCATGCCTGTAATCCCAGCACTTTGGGAGACTGAGGTGGGTGGATCATCTGAGGTCAGGAGTTCGAGACCAGCCTGACCAACATGGTAAAATCCATCTCTACTAAAAATAAAAAAATTAGCTAGGCGTGGGGGTGGGTGCCTGTAATCCCAGCTACTCAGGAGGCTGAGGCAGGAGAATGGCTTGAACCAGGGAGGTGGAAGTTGCAGTGAGCCAAGATTGCACCATTGCATTCCAGCCTGGGCAACAGAGAGAAACTCCATCTGAAAATAAAATGATAATAATAATAATAATAATTAAAAAAATAAAGAACGTGAACATAGGTGATATGACTGACGACAGGGAAAGAGAGAATTAGATTAGTGGGTGGCTAGAGAAAGGTGAGAAAGGCATTCTTGAGAAATTGAAATTGTGAGCTGAGACCTGAATGTAATAAAAGAAGCAGTCATGCTAAGATCTAGTGCAAGAGTATAATATTCAAAGAAGAGCGAAGGCAAAATCTCTGAGGCAGAAATGACTGTGGCATGTTCAAGAATCAGAAAAATTATTAAAGGACCTACAGTGTAGTCATGAGAGAGAAATGGATATGTAATGAGAGACAGCTCATGTAGGATCTTGATGTATAATGAAGAGTTTACATTTCATTTGATTAACAAAAATAGATACATACTTCTGAGCTAAATATGAAGACCATAGTACATAAAGCTTTATTAAATTTAAAAAACAAGAAACCTCATGCTTTTGTCTTGTATGTCCAACAAAGAGGTAGAAACAAAGAAAGGGAAAGAAAAATAAAAGATGTAGAAATGTTTGTAAGAAGATGAGTGAATGAGCTTAAGCTGTATATTGATGTTATGTTTGGTCTGTTGTTTTGGTTAAGCTCCCGTAGTCACAGGCATCTTTCATTTGTACATTATTTTTGACATGGAAACTGATCAAATAATTAAGAAACGTATCTGTTAAATAAAGAAAAATCCCACTTTCTTGGAAACAGTAATTTAGATGTTAGGAAAAAATCAAATCTGTTATCAATATGCACTTTTAGGTAAATTCAGTGTCTTTGAGGATGTCTGTAATAGCTTCATATTAACAAAATCTTAACTTTGAGGTAATTATCATTAAATATTTTAGAATCCAAACCACAGATTCTATGTTGGTTCCACTGTCACCAAGGCCTATCTTAGACACACTGTGGTTATAGTTTATAAATAAAATTAATATATCAATATATAAACAAAAATAGTCATTAAATGGAATGAATATGTGATATGCACAAATTATTTTTAAAAGAGTATAAGAACGATTTCCCTTACTCTCATTGAGTTTGAGGTCCAAGGAGAGCTTTAAATATATAACCATGGCCCTATGAATCCTTCTCCTCCTAGGGTTCACCCTTCTGCATCCTCATGGTCAACATAACTCTACCTCAGCTCTCTGGGCTGAGTTAGGGCACCCCAAATTGTGCCACAGGCTGAAGTAAACTTATATCCCTAACTGAATCCCTTGCCCTTCTGATTAAGCAAGATATTACCCAGATCTTCAGCTGGTCTCTGAAACCTCATGGGACTGTGACAATTTCCAGAGTGTTAGGAACTACCTTAAATTAATTAATCTAGAAACAGTTCTCATCTGACACTATCTACCTCCAGGCTCCTCCATGGTAATTTTCTTCAGGGAAGCCTTTTTAGAAAGCCCTGTCCTTCAGCAGTCTTATTTACAACGTCCCACCCAATGACTGCTCTATTTCACTGGTATCTTCAATGATACTGCCCAATACTGTTATGTTTTTATGTTACCAGGAATTTCCTCCCCTTTGGTTGTTGTCCTTTAGGGCTTTGGTCACACACAGTTCATGGAGTTGATGGGGATTGGGGATCTTGGGTTCATTGACTCTGGGAATCTCTTATTGCTCTCATGTGTACAGCAGATGCTGCAATGAGATAAGGATCTATGTCATTTTAAGCCTGATTCAGAAAGGGAAACTTCTACAAAATTTTACATGTGAGCGCCCACTGATTATAAAACCTTTCAAATCTCCTAACCCCATCAACTGCACTTTATGCCTTCACATCATAACAACCTGCAGCTAATAAGAAACAGCTGAAAAAAAAGGCTGCTGTTAGCCTTTTCAGGGGTTTTATTTTTCTTTCTGACAGCCCAGAACATATAGCATTTTGAGTTAATTTCAGGCATTTCAATATTTTAGACTTCCAAAAATATACCAAAATATAAGTCCAGCATTTTGCTTCCATAATGTCAAATTATTAAACTTTTCATATCACGTAGGAGAAACTAGATTTTATCAAAAGAGCTACAAAGCACTTTGGTGTACAATGGTAGATGTGTGCTCAGATATTCACAGTACTTTGCCAAAGAAACTAAACGAATAACAATAATGCAACACCAGAGCTATCCGTCATAAGGTAAGGCTCTCTAATCGCTGGCATTTAAAGACTAAAAGAAAATGACACATTTAAAAAATATTTTGGCTCTTTAGTATAACTTACCCCTACCAGGCACATGGTTAAAATGTAGGAGATTAGGATATTCTGACTAGAATGTAGGAAAAATAGATAAGTTATCATACACTTTTTAAAAAACTTCAAAAAACTACAAATAAAAATGGTCTAAAGAAATGAAAATTTAGAGAAGTCCTTTCTAGATGGGTGAATGCTAGAGGTCACTTTCCTGGAGGCATCTGCTCAGTCCGGGTATGGGAAGGTGGAGAATCTGGCTTGAGACCTTTCTGAAGAAAGGAGAAACAAGTATTACACCAAGAATCTTAGCTGGCATGACAGATTGCAACAGTAAAAACTGAACCCAAAACATAGAGCTGATTCTTCCTAGCTGCTGATTGTCCCCATGGGACTTTTGCTGAGTTTCCAGAAGAAGCAGTACAGGAAGCTGGAGGTGGGGTTAGAAAGGCAGAGAGAGATTTCCATTAACTCCTGGTGCTTAAAATCCAAAGTCAAGCTAGAAGAAAAAGCCTATAATACACACAGGACACATCTCATCCTAAAGATATTCAAAATCAGATGTGAGCTGGAACTTACCAAAATTTAAATTCAGCTTCAACCCAACTCAGTTCCTGATTGGATTGAAGTAATTAAACTCTCCCTAGCTGTCTAACAGAGAAAACAGTATGCCTCTCTGGAGAAAAATATATTTACTCCCCTTTATATGGTTTTTTAAAATACAATGTTCCAGCATAAAATAAATAATTATGACAGGAAACTGTGACCCATAGTCAAGAGAAAAAAGCTAGTCAATAGAAATAGCACATAGAGGACACAAATGTTGGAATTCACAGGAAAGCTCTTTAAAATAACTATTGCAAACGTGTTAAAGAAATTAATAGAAAAGAAACATAAAATGAACTAAGAAATGTAGAATTCCAAAAAAGAAATGGAATTCTGAAGAAGAAGACAAAGAGGAGGAGGAGGAGGAGGAGGAAGAATAAATAATAAAATGATACTGTAGAACTGAATGATAAATATCTAAAATTAAGATGGGCTTGATTGGCCGGGTGTGGTGGCTCACGCCTGTAATCCCAGCAGTTTGGGAGGCCAAGGCGGGAGGATCACAAGGTCAGGAGATCCAGACCATCCTGGCTAACACGGTAAAACCTTGTCTCTACTAAAAAATACAAAAAAAATTAACCAGGTATGATGGCGGGCACCTGTAGTCCCAGCTACTGAGGAGGCTGAGGCAGAAGAATGGCGTGAACCTGGGAGGTGGAGCTTGCAGTGAGCCGAGATCATGCCACTGCACTCCAGTCTGGGTGACAGAGCAAGACTCCGTCTCAAAAAAAAAAAAGATGGGCTTGATTATATAATATTCACAGAAGAGAGAAAGAATCTGTGAACTTGAAGGTGTATTAATAGAAATGATCCCAACTGAAGCAAGGAGAAAAGAAAGGAATGAAAGCTAAAACTGAACAGGGAATGAAAAAGCACATGGACAATCTCAAACAGTCAAATATATGTGTAACTGAAGTTCCAGAAAGACAGGAAAAAGAATAGGGCAGAAGAAATATTTGAAAAGAATCACTAAGAGTTTTACAAAATTGGTTTTTAAAATGTTAACTCACATGGTAAAAAATCTTAGGTTATGCCAGTCAGGATGAACACAAAGAAAATAACACCTAGAAAATGACTGTAAAACAAAAATACAGAGAAAAATCTTAAAAGCAGCTAGAAGGGGAAAAAGTTATATTTAGGAAAAGCACAGTGAGCATAACGGCAAACTTCTCAGAAACCATGAAAATCAGAAGATAATGGAATGATATATTTTAAATGCTGAAAATAGAAACCTTCCGTGTTAGAATTTTATTTATTTATTTATTTATTTATTTAGAGACAGGGTCTTGCTCTGTCGCCCAGGCTGGAGTGCAGTGGTGCCATCTCAGCTCACTGCAACCTCTGCCTGGGATCAAGCAATCCCCTTTCCTCAGCGTCTTGAGTAGCTGGGACTACAAGCACATGAGACCATGCCTGGTTAATTTTTGCATTTTTGGTACAGACAGGGTTTTACCATGTTGCCCAGGCTGGTCTTGAACTCCTGGGCTTAAGTGATCCACCCACCTTTGCCTCCCAAAGTGCTGGGATTACAAGCATAAGCCACTGTGCCCAGCCCACGTTAGAATTCTATACCCCAGATAGGTACTATTATTACCTACCTCACAGGATTTATTTATATGAGGATCAAACAGCCTGGCCCATAGTAAACACTAAAGTAATGTTCAATACGTAAAATAAAAATTACTCTGCTGCTGGGATTGTAAATTGCTATAATCTCTCTTGGGGAAAAGAATACCTGAAGCAAGTGGAACAATATCATAACATAACATAGGTGGTATTTATTTTCCTCATACTTTTACATAAACAGGAACTTTCAATATTGTTAAAGCAGGACAGGTCTGATAGAGGACACACTCCATGAGAACAGGGACTTTGTTTAGTTCACTGCTGTACATCAGCACCTAGATGAGTACCTAGGGAATCTGCATCATGGATATGAGAAAACCTTCTGATAATAATTTATAGTAAATGTGTTTTAACTCTGAGTAGACAAGAAAAAAAAAAGAGAAGGAACCATTGAAATTTAGATATATTTAAATGCTTAAAAACTGAAACTGGCTTGGTTACATACATATAAGTCATTCTGCCAATGCCCATATCTGTGATGCTGACAGCAGCTCTTTCATTTCCAGAAGACCCCCAAAGGAGGAAAGTGATATCATCGTTTTCCTTTATCCTAAAAGCTATGTTTTTTTAAGAACTCAAATAAAGAAAACTTTTCTTTTCCTTTTTGAGGATGAAAAATTGAATGAAAAAGAGAAACATTCAAGCCAGATTTAGAAACCCAGAATCTGAAGTGTTTTGGAGCCAATCTTTTATTATTGTGCTTAAAATCAATTATTTTATTTTGTATTTGATTACCCATTACAAATCAAGGAATTTTAGAGCTAGTGGGGTACTTAGATATTATGATCCCTGCACATTACAAATGATCCAGTTGAGTCCTGGCAGTAGTCACAGTACTAATTAGAAACAGAGCTGGCACTAGAACCCAGGGCTTTGCTTTGACGTTCAAGGTGAATTTTTAATGGACTCTGGCTGTGTCAATTTTTCGTTAAGACCTCTTTCACTTCCTCCATGCAGACCCTTTCTTGGTTACATTTTCCCTGATGATGAATGTCAGATATAGATTTAGAGCATCACCCACTCAAAGCTCTTTCCCGGAGTACAGTGCAAGACTTAGTCTAGTTTCTTTCCATAAATCAAAAGGTATAGGGAATCCTATGGGTTAATGTCTTTGAGCATATAGGAAAGATTTTAATTTGTAGTAATCCTTAAGAGAGGTGGAATTTGTGCTCTTAAATGACTTGCTACGTTTCTCTATTAATTTAATGGATGAGTATGCAGAAATCTACAATTTGAGCTTTAAAATCAAGGCCTTTTTACTATTTATACTTCAAGAAAATATGGTGGTTACCTATTTAAAAAGTAACTGACAAAAAATTGTTTATGATATTTAGTGTAAATGCCCATTTTTTTCTCCATTCATCAACATTTTCTCTCATTGTTAGCAGTGTAACATCCCAGTCACACGGCACCAAAGTATGTTACCAGTGGGATATCCATACGATTCTGTAGCAACCTCAATTCTTGCCTCCTCAGAAGAAAGAATTTGACCAAGGGACAAAAGGCACAGTGAGAGTCCGAGGCAAGAGTGAACGTTTATTTAAAAAGCTTTAGAACAGGAATCAAAGGAAGTAAAGTACACTTGGAAGAGGGCCAAGCAGGCGACGTGAGAGATCAAGTGCATGGTTTGACCTTCGACTTAGGGTTTTATATGTTGGCATACTTCTGGGGTCTTGTGTCCCTTCTCCCCGATTCTTCCCTTGGGGCAGGCTGTCCTTATCCACATTGGGCTGCCAGCGCTTGGGAGGGGCTACTGGCGCAGTGTGTTTACTGGAGTTGTGCGCATGCTCACTTGAGGCATGAAGTGAGCGTGCGTACAACTCCAATAACTGGTAACAACACTCCCTTACCAGGGGCGTATTCCTGTAAGGTCATATACCCGTAAAATCAGCCGCTTTACCTCTTAGTGCGCATGCTCAAGCCCACTTGCCCAACTCCAGAGATCTTATCTGGAAGCTAATCACCAGTTTCAGGTTTTTCTACTTATTGGGAGAACTGCCTTTCCCTGATGCCGACTAGGACCAATTATTATTTTAGAGAAAGTGTAATAACCACCTGACCATCATCTGATGGTTGCCTGACATTCCTGGTCGGGGCGGGGAGCCTTTTCCCACCCTGCTCTTGCCTGACCAGCTACCTACTGTAACATAACCTCTTCCCTGTCTCCCAGTTAGGGTTTCTGCAATCTGACTGATATATTTGGAAAACTAAAGGATTGTTTTCAATTGGAAAATGCAAATATCATAACTATTAATTCCTTCTAGTACACACATATTCAGACTGAATGAAATTTAACTACTTTAAATACCCCATCTATTCGATTTCTCTTTTGTCTTTCAAGTTTGTCAAATTATTTTAGACACTTTATTTCCTGCTAAATGGTCTATCTCAAAGCCAGTTTTCTCCCCCAATTTAATCCTGCAGCCAGGCATGATGCTATATACGTAAGAATGATATATCATTATTATTACCACCAATTTTAGAAAATGAGCTCGCTTTAGGGTCATCCTGAGTTGACTTTAAACCTTTTATTTTTAATGGGAAATACAATTACAGATGCTGCTCAGAGAATTGCTTCAAATTTTCCAAACTTGCTTTTTTTTTTGAGACGGAGTCTCGCTCTGTCACCCAGACTGGAATACAGTGGCATGATCTTGGCCCACTACAACCTCCGCCTCCCAGGTTCAAGCAATTCTCCTGTCTCAGCCTCCCAAGTAGCTGGGATTACAGGTGCCCACTACCACACCCAGCTAATTTTTTTGTATTTTTAGTAGAGACGGGTTTCACCATGTTGGGCAGGCTGGTTTCAAACTCCTGACCTCGAGTGATCTGCCCGCCTCGGCCTCCCAAAGTGCTAGGATTACAGGCATGAGCCACTGTGCCTGGCCCAAATTTTCTTTTATGATCGACCACTCTTCACATTCATCACTCACTGTTATAAGAAAATCGGTCTCTGAGCATTACATACTCTTCCAATCTATTTGAACTTGTCCCCATTGCCTTGTGTAGAGACTTACTAATGTTTCAATCATAGTGATATTTCATTGTTTTGATTGTTAAAGAGAAATTATTCAAACACATTTTTTAAGTGTCAAGAAAGATTTTATTCAAGACTATTGCA